>NC_000014.9:77945046-78096561 GCF_000001405.40 Homo sapiens
CACACCCCCATTTTTTTGTGTAAATTACTTTAAATTGGTTATCTGATTTTTAACTGAAAGAGCCCTGAGCATTGCAGCTATTATCTTTAAGGGCCCTGGATCCATCTGGGAACTGTGAGAGCCTGGAGAAGTCTAGAGGAAAATCTTCATATGTCTACAGGGATAGAAAATAAAAAGACATCAACAGACTGGACACTCTCCAGAGAGCTGAATAAGAGCAAACAGGGTTAAATTGCAATGAGTTCTTATTGCTGTTGTTGAGATTATGAGAGTAAGGGCTACTGATCAGTTACTTTATATTCTCCATTTTCTGGTCAAAAACAGCAGAAAGAAAAAAAAAAGCAGAAAGGCCCATGTAATTCTGGCTGGATGCCAGTTGTGTGGATATATTTTTGTCAAATGATGCCTGTGTTCAAATGACCCATGGGGTTCTTAGAGCTGGCTATTTAGCTGGAATAGGCTTAATTTCTCTTATTGATTCTGCTAGTTACTGTCCACACTGGTCACCCCCAGAGAGTTGCCAGGAGCTGTTTTCTTAATCACAGTATTAGTTAGATATAGACATCCCTGGGAGCATGTAACATAAGGACAGTCTCACATGGGTGTTCTCTATCTGCCTACAAGCGAGGCTGGCTGGTTCTTAGGAGCCATACTGAACCAGGGACAAATTTGGGAACTTGGATTGTAATTGTGTTGTGTGGAAACCTCTCTTTCCCGCTCTGTTCTTCTTAATCTCATATGTGTGGTTGAGTAAAGTGAGAGCTTGAGTGAGGGTGAGGGTTGTCACCTCTCTCTCTCTGTCCCTGGTTATGCCATCATTTAGAGATTCCTGAACAGGCTGGTCTTGGTGATTTATAGACACCAGGCTCACCCATATCTATGGTCTGGCTCTTTGCTTTCTGTAGTGGTGACAAGTCTCAAATCCTGCCTTCTATGGGGAACCTCCAAGACCACTCTGCCCTTACTGCCTCCCATCCTGGTTCTCTGGACACTTCTCTCCGCTCCCACCTTCCACACTCAACTGTCTACCTGCCTGGTGTAGTCCTTGGAGAGCAAGGGTTGTTTCTTCCTTGTCTCTTGCATGCCTTTTTACACCATGATAGTGGAGGCTGTAGTCAGCCTTTCATTCATTGTGTGGCCATTTATGTATGCCTCAATCCATTTCAGTGCCCATTTATAGGAGAGGGAAGTGGAGAGACAGGATGAATCTGGCACAGTGCCTGCCTTAAGGAACTGTAGTCCCTGATGAAGGGATGCAGGGGTGAGCCAGGAGCCTGGAGTCTGGGAGGAGAGAAAGGGATTTAGACAACTCTTGGGGACCAGTGTGCTAGTCAGCAGCCCTATCTGGAAGAAAGATTTGAGGAGACCATCTCTATATTTCTCTTTAGTGCCAGGATCTCCCAGAATTTCATTTTGACCAGGAGACCTGCTTTCATTATCTCAGTGGATGGTGCCACCAGCAGTCATGTGGTCCAGAAGCCAGAAGAGTCAGTCTTTACACCTCTCCTTGACCTTTATAGCAACTGATATGGTTTGGCTCTGTGATCTCACCAAGATCTCATCTCCCTGACACATGTAATCCCTATGTGTTGAGGAAAAGAGGTGACTGGATCATGGGAGTGGTTTCTTCCATGCTGTTCTCATGCTAGTGAGTGAGTTCTCATGAGATCTGTTGGTTTTATAAGTGTTTGGAAGTTCCTCCTTCTCACTTTTCTCTCCTGCTGCCTTGTGAAGAAGGTGCTTTGCTTCCCCTTTACCTTCTGCCATGATTGTAAGTTTCTTGAGGCCTCCCCAGCCACGTGGAACTGTGAGTCAGTTAAACCTCTTTTCTTTGTAAGTTACCCAGTCTCAGGTATTTCTTTATAGCAGTGTGAAAAATGGGCTAATACAGAAAACTGGTACTATGGAGAGTGGGGCATTACTATAAAGATAATTGAAAATGTGGAAACCACTTTGGAACTGGGTGATGGGTAGAGGTTGGAACAGTTTGGAGGGATCAGAAGAAGACAGGAAGATGTGGGAAAGTTTAGAACTTCCTAGAGACTTGTTGAATCATTTTGACCAAAATGTTGATAATGATGTGGACAATGAAGTCCAGGCTGAGGTGGCCTCAGATGGAGATAAGGAACTTCTTGGGAACTGGAGCAAAGATGACTCTTGCTATGCTTTAGCAAAGATACTGGTGGCATTTTGCCCCTGCCCTAGAGATATGTGTCACTTTGAATTTGAGAGAGATGATCTGAAATGGAAACATATGTTTAAAAAGGAAGTGGAGCATAAAAGTTTGGAAAATTTGCAGCCTGGCATGCAATAGAAAAGAAAAACACATTTTCTGGGGAGAAATTCAAGCTGGCTGCAGAAATTTGCATAAATAATGAGGAACCAAATGTGAATCACCAAGACAATGAGGAAGATATCTCCAGGGCATGTCAGAGATTCTGGTGGCAGCCATCCCGTCACAGACCTGGAGGCCTAGGAGGAAAAAATGGTTTTGTGGGCCAGGCCCAAGGCCCTGCCTGTGTGCAGCCTTGGGATTTGCTGCCCTGTGTCCCAGCAGCTCCAGTTCCAGCCATGGCTAAAGAGGCCAAGGTACAGCTTGAGCCATTGTTTCAGAGGGTGCAAACCCCACACCTTGCCGGTTCCATATGGTGTTGGGCCTGCGGGTGCACGGAAGTCAAGAATTGAGGTTTGGGAACCTCCACCTAGATTTCCTAGGACATATGGAAATGGCTGGATGTCCAGGCAGAGGTCTGCTGCAGGGGTGGAGCGCTAATGGATAACCTCTGCTAGGGCAGTGCAAAGGGGAAATGTGGAGTTGAAGCCCCCACACAGAGTCCCCACTGGGGCACTGCCTAGGGGAGCTGTGAGAAGAGGGCCACTGTTCTTCAGACCCCTGTAGATCCACCAACAGCTTGTACTATGTGCCTGGAAAAGCCATAGGCACTCAACACCAGCCTGTGAAGGAGTTGCCCAAGGCTGTGGGAGCCCACTCCTTGTATCAGCATGCCCTTGATGTGAGAAATAGAGTCAAAGGAGATTATTTTGGAGCTTTTAGATGTAATGACTGCCCTGCTGGATTTTGGACTTGCATGAGGCCTGCAGCCCCTTTGTTTTGGCCAATTTCTCCCATTTGGGACAGGAGCATTTACCCAATGCCTGTATCCCCTTTGTATTTAGGAAGTAACTAACTTCCTTTTGATTTCACAGGCTCATAGGCAGAAGGGACTTGCCTTGTCTCAGATGAGACTTTCGACTTGGAATTTTGAGTTAATGCTTAAATGAATTAAGACTTTGGGGAATTGTTGGTAAGGCATGATTGATTTTGAAATGTGAAAAGATATGAGATTTTGGAGGGGCCAGGCGTGGAATGATATGGTTTGGCTCTATGCTCCCACCCAAATCTCATCTTGAATTGTAATCCCCATGTGTTGAGGGAGGGAGGTGATTCAATCATGGGGGTGGTTTCCCTCATGCTGTTCTCGTGATAGTGAGTGAGTTCTCACAAGATCTGATGGTTTTATAAGCTTTTGGAAGTTCCTCCTTCGCTCTTCTCTCTTCTGCTGCCTTGTGAAGAAGGTGGCTGCTTCCCTTTTGCCTTCTGCCATGATTGTGGGTTTCCTTAGGCCTCCCCAGCCATGTGGAAGTGTGACTCAATTAAACCTCTTTCCTTTGTAAATTACCCAGTCTTGGGTATTTCTTTATAGCAGTGTGAGAGCTGACTAATACAGCAACCCTTTCCCCACCCCCACCCCCTCCTTCCCTCCCCACTACCTGGCTGAGATCTGGTCTCCTTACAGGTCTCCTGGTCTCCTATCTTGTGCCCCTTATCCTCCTTCCCCCTCCCCCTTCCCCTACCCCTCTGCCACCAAATTGGTTCTTCTTCACCTAAAGGCAACTCGCCTATAAGCACATTGCCAAAAACTTGTTTGCCTAAGGTTCAATTCTCCCAAAGGCCAGTTTACTTAAAATCAAGTTTGTTTTTGTTTTTTTAAGACAGAGTCTTGCTCTGTAGCCCAGGCTGGAGTGCATCTTGTCTCACTGGAACTTCTGCCTCCTGGGTTTAAGCGATTCTCGTGCCTCAGCCTCCTGAGTAGAGGGGATTACAGGTGTGTGCCACCCCATATGACTAATTTTTGTATTTTTAGTAGAGATGGTGTTTTCCATATTGCCAGGCCGGTTTCAAACTCCTAGCCTCAAGTGATCCACCTACCTTGGCTTCCCCAAGTGCTGGAATTACAGGCATAAGCTACTGTGCCTGGCCAAAATCAAGTATTTTTGATTATTTTTAGAGCCATTCACCCTTCTATTACTTCTTGCCTTGCCTTTGTCCCCCCTTTGGCATTTTAAAGGTTTTAAAAACCAATTCATGAAAGAGCATTTGATTTAATTTTGTGTTTCTAATAAATATTTATTAAACATGCAGCTTTTGGTGAATGATTATTGTATATTCTGTTAGATTTTTTTTCTAAGTTAGCAACTTTAATGAACTTTAAAGATAACCAATATTTAGCTATTTTGTTTAAAGACACTTTCCTCAAAATATAGCTGTCCAAGCAATAAATATTCAAGACACTAATTATAATCAATTGTTATACACTGTCATTATTGGTCCCTTAACTGAGGGTATGTTAATTTCAGATAAAAAAATGGTGGGTATTAATGTTAAGTTTTGTGTGGCACATAATATTTTATGAATTAGCAACCTTGAAAAATAATTATTCTTATATGCAATACCACTGGTTTGCTAAATCTCTCCACTTCCAATGACTGGCATCTAGCGGACACTCAACTTGTGCGTACTGAGCGTATGAGTGAGTGAGATTCTGAGATGAGGTCCTAGTACCACCATACATAGCAAAGCAGTTTATCCCGCAGTTCAACAGTGTCAACTATCACAAAGGAGACATTTGCCTCAGATTTTATACAAGGAAACTGATGGAATGAAACAGACCGGCATTGGTAGAATGAGTGAGCGTTTGTCCCAGGAAAGTAAATCAGATTTGTTTGGGGTTCTAAAAGAGACATGGCAAATGCCTGGCATGGTGCTGCCACCCTTACCATGGCCAAAGCAGACTCCACATATTGATCACTGCACCCTTTCAGGTTGAGCTAGGACAGGACCCCAGAATCCTACCTAACACAGCAGACCAGTCAACTGCTACTGATTGAGCAGGGTTGGCATGTAGTGCTTACTTGCTGTTTTTGCTCTCTAACTGGGAGCCTTTCTTTATCTGGGATAGTTTTAGGGCTCTCATAAATGAAGGTAGGAGGATGTTCTGCTTAATTTCTCCACCATTCCAGAACATTCCTAGCTTTCTGATGATGTGGAGCAGACATCTTGGGCTCATTTAGGAAGATTAATTTAATGCGATAACATTTCCTAGTTCAGAGGACTTTCCCACCAACACTTATAGCTGTGTTTTCTTTTGTAAGGAGTTTGATTTTCTGGGGTATAGGAATCCTCCTGAGTCATTTGCACTGAAACCCAAAAGAGCTCTGAGCAAGAGTCCAGTCTCCTCCCACGGTGTTCAGCTTGGCAAGCTGCCTCATGGAGCTGGGAAGGATCCTCAGATGGGAGTCCAGAGAACTGTTGATGCTGGCACTTAGGGAAAATCTCCCCCTCGCCTGTTTTCTGATTTCTCACCTGTAAATTAGGAAGATTGGGTTAAATCAGTTGTTCTTAGTGGGGGTTGTACTGCCTCCAGGGACTTTCTGGAAATGTGCGGGGACATTTTTGGCCATCACAATGATGGGGAGTGCTACTCTCATTGAATGGGTGGGGTCAGGGATGCCAGATGTCTTCCTGTGGGCAATACAGCCTCACTCAACAAAGAATTTTCCTGTGACCTGTGTGGTTTCCAAATGCTCCACCGGATATGCATGTAGTGAAAAATCCTGGTTGTAATGAACTAAATCAACAACCTAACTCCATTTTACATGTAAAGGCAAAGGATTTTTTTGCATGGTTTTAGTATCTGTTGAAATTTTCAGGAATGCAATTACCATGAAAGTTGGATGATTTGTTTCTGTGGGAGTTATTGTTCACCATTTTGGGAAACCACATAACCAATGGCAAGGCAGAGCCTACACACTTGAATGGCCAGTGCAACCTGCTGTATCAATGTGACTTTAAGAATTATGTGTAGCCAGTCTGGGTGCAGTGGGGCTTATGCCTGTAATCCCAGCACTTCGGGAAGCTGAGGTGGGCAGATCACTTGATCTTAGGAGTTCAAGACCAGCCTGGGGGGACATGGTGAAATCCTGTCTCCACCAAAATTACAAAAAATTATCCAGGCGTGGCAGCACACAACTGTTGTCCCAGCTACTCAGGAGGCTGAGGTGGGAGGATCACTTGAGCCAGGCAAGTCCAGGCTGCAGTAGGCCATGATCATGCCACTGCACTCCAGCCTGAGCGACAGAGCCAGACCCTATCTTAAAAAAAAAAAAATTATGTGTAGCCAGGCACAGGCTACTGGAGAGGCTGAGGCAGGAGGATTGCTTGAGCCCAGGAGTTCAAGACCAGCCTGGGGCAACATAGCAGGACCCCATCTCAATAAAAAACTAAACAATTATGTGTGTGGGTACATTGCCATTTTTATGAATTTCACTTCAGGACCATAAGGGGACATTACCAAACATTTGTTGTAAAAATGGTGTGTTAGGTCTGATTGGGCTAAAAACTACTGGTCTAAAGATGCCTGAAGATCCTTTTTCACTCTTACATAGTCTGTGTCTGTGAGAGTGGAAGGGAGATTAGGTGGCATGAATAATGGAAAACATTCAGTGGTGGAAATGGGTCAAGGCACAGAGTGTCTCAGAAAACATATCTCCCATCATTAAATCCCTCCACAAACCAAGAACTTTAGAGACGATTGCCCTTAATAGGTGTCCAGGATTAGAGGATGAACTGAAAAAACATTTACAGGGGATTTGAGTGGCAGCTGACCCCTGAGGACAGTTTCAGAATAAGGTTGAAAAGTAAAAAACCCAAAATAAATAATTTTAATATGTCATTTTCATGATGTAAACTTCAGCATGCTATAAATTCTTAAGAATATTGGATGGTGGCTGGGCACGGTGGCTCATGCCTGTAACCCCTGCACTTTGGGAGGCTGAAGTGGGTGGATCACTTGAGGTCAGGAGTTCGAGAACAGCCTGGCCAACATGGTGAAACTCCATCTCTACTAAAAATATCAAAATTAGCTAGGCGTGGTGGCAGGCACCTGTAGTCCCAGCTACTCAGGAGGCTGAGACTGGAGAATTGCTTGAACCTGGGAGGCGGAGGTTGCAGTGAGCCAAGATTGCACCATAGCACTCCAGGCTGGGCAACAGTGAAACTCCATCTCAAAAAAAAAAAAAAAAAAAAAAAAAAAAAAGAATATCGGATGGCAAAAATGAAAGAAATGTATCAATGGAAAAAAAAAAAAGAAATGGGTCAAGGTAAATTTATGTTCCCAAATTGAGCACGTCCACTGCTGAGAGTGACCACTGCTGCATAACCTGGGTACTAATGTATTTGGTTTTGGACTTCATGTCTAAATGGGCTTCAGGATCAGAACTCCCTTGTTATGCAACTCTGTGAATTTTGTATTGTTGGCAAGTGTTATAGACTGAATGTTTGTGTCTTTCCTAATTTGTATGTTGAAGCCTGAAAACCCAAAGTGATGGTATTTGAAGTTGGTGTCTTTGTGAGGTAATTGAGTTGTTAGAGTGGAGCCCTCATCAATGTGATTGGTGCCCTTTTAAGAAAAGACACAGGAGGCTGGGCATGGTGTCTTATGTCTGTAATCCCAGGGTTTTGGGAGGCCAAGGCGGGAGGTTTGCTCGAGGCCAAGGGTTCGCGACCAGCCTGGGCAATATAGTGAGACCCCATCTCTATATAAAGTTTAAAAAATTAGCAGGGTACAGTGGTATGTGCCTGTAGTCCTAGCTACTTGGGAAGCTGAGGAGGGAGGATTGCTTGAGCCCAGGAGTTGAAGTGAGCTATGATCGTGCCATTGTAGTCCAGCCTGGGTGACAGAGTAAGACCCCATCTGCAAAAATAAAAAATTAAAAGAGAGATGAGTTCTGTTTTAGACATATAATGAACAGGCTGCTGTCTATAAGCCAGGAAGCAGGCCCTCACCAGACAGTGAATCTGCTGGTGCCTTGATCTTGGACTTCCCAGCCCCTAAAACTATGAGAAATAAATATGTGTTGTTTCAGCCACCTAGTCTATGAGTTTATGTTTTTATTTTAATTTTTTAAACAGATGGGGCCTTGCTGTACCACCCAGGCTAGAGTGCAGTGGCACCATCATAGCTCACTGCAGCCTCTAACTCCTGGGCTCAAGTGTTTCTCCAGCCTTGGCCTCCTGAGTAGTTGGGAATACAGGCATGTGCCATCATGGCCAGCTAATATTTTCTGTAGAGATGGGGTCTCACTATGTCGTCCAGGGTAGTCATGAACTCCTGGCTTCAAATTAACCTCCTGCCTCAGCCTCCCAAATTGCTGGGAATACAGGTGTCAGCCACTGTGTCTGGTCTTAGTCTATGGTTTTCTTGTTATAGCAGCCCAAATTGACTAAGACAGCAAGGGATCCAACTCAAATGTGTGCCTACTGTGTGGAAGCATTACTGATAGCTTTTTTCCTTTTATTTGTAATCCTTCCTCATGCCCTGTTTCCATGAGGTAATTTTAGTGGAATTAAACTTGAACAGCCCCAAATTATATAATTAATTACATTCAGCTTCAATTACAGTCACTAATTGATCCGTGCCTGCTAGCACAACACTTTCATTATTTGGCACACAATTATTGAGCGCCTACTCTGTGCTGGGAATAAAGGAGGAAATGGTCAATTTCTCCTGTGGAGGGAGGATGGGGGTGGGGCTGGGGTTGTTAAGAAAAGCCTCCTAGGGACAGCTGGTAGTAGTCAAGGACTTAGTGAGGGAAGTGACAGGTAGATAAAGTCCCACTGGCCTTCTAGATCACCTGTGAATGTCTGTATGCTAAAAAGTCTCAAGTGCACCACACTGTGGGATTCAGCAGGCTGGTTTTGGCGCCAGATGTCACATGTTGTACTCTAGGTCTCTCTGGTTTTTTCTTTCATTGACTCTTGAATAATAATTGGTTAAAGAATTAATAGATACAATGATCATCTGCCGCCCAAAGTACTTTCAATCTCCTCACTAGTCTTCTCACTGCTAACCCCCTCTTGGGGCTCTCCCCATCACACTGTAATCTGAGGCCTTGCTTCTCAGCCCTGAATATGCATTTGGATCATCCAGGCCTCTATTTTTCTTTTCTTTAAGACAGGGTCTCACTCTGTTACCCAGGCTGGAGTGCAGTGGTGTGATCACAGTTCACTGCAGCCTCCCAGGCTCCTGAACTCCTAGGCTAAAGCAATCCTCCCACCTCAGCCTCCCAAGTAGCTGGGACTACAGGTGTGCACCACCACACCTGGCTAATGTTTCCATTTTTTGTAGAGACAAAGTCTTGCCATGTTGCCCAGGCTGGTCTCAAATTCCTGGGCTCAAGTAATCTGTCCACCTCAGCCTCCCAATGTACTGGTATCATAGGCATAAGCCACCATGCCTGGACCGGGCCCCTTTTTAAGTGCAGAGTTTCCTGCAGCAAGCCTCGGGTGGAGTCTGAGATTCTGCATCACTAGCAAGCTCCCGGTGCGGGATGCTGCAGTGTGCAAGTGATGTGGATGCTGTGGTCTGCAGACCACATGTCTAAGTCCCAAGGTGCTAGGGCCACTCGGTGACCTTTCCGGCAGGAGTTGTCATTCCTTGAGGGAGAAGCCAAAGGGAGGTTATTAAACACTGAGGGTCTTAGTCTGCTCAGAATGCTATCACAAAGTACCACAGACTGGGTGGTTTATAGACAACAGAAATTTATTTCTCACAGTTCTGGAGGCTAAGAAGTCCAAGATAAAGGCACTCACAGATTTGGTGTCTATTGAGAGCCCATTTCCTGGTTTGTAGATGGTGACTTCTCACCATGTCCTCACACGGTAGACGTGTCAGGCTAGCTCTCTGGGGCCTCTTTCTTTTCTTTTTTTTTTTAATATATTTTTTATTATACTTTAAGTTCTAGGGTACATGTGCACAATGTACAGATTTGTTACATATGTATACATGTGCCATGTTGGTGTGCTGCCCCCATTAACCCATCATTTACATTAGGTATATCTCCTAATGCTATCTGGGGCCTCTTTCATCAGGGAACCAGTCTCATTCATGAGGACCACACCCTTACGATCTAATCATCCCCCAAAGGCCCTGCTTCTTAATGCCATCATTTTGGGGGTTAGGATTTCAACATATGAAGTTGTGGGGGTGGGAGACACAAACATTTAGACCACAAAACTGAGGTTCTGTTGTGGAGGAGACCGCACTGTCCTGATTCTCCAGAATGGGACAATTACTGTCTCATTGGATTGGGGATTACTTCCTTCTATCCTTCTATGTTCTCTTTTTGGAGGAGGGCATGCATTCTTACTTTTCTTGGTAGTAGTTTTATTGAGTAGCTCACCAAGTGAGTTCAGATGTGGTAAGAAAGGTGACATGTCCTAGAGATTGGCTAGGTTTTTTTTTTTTTTTTTGAGACAGGGTCTCACTATGTTGCCCAGGCTGGTCTTGAACTCCTGGGCTCAAGCGATCCTCCTGTCTTGGCCTCCCAAAGTGCTGGGACTACAGGCATGTGCCACCATGTGCTGGGCTTGGTTAGATATTTGTTAAGTAATTTATTCACGTAGTATTTATTAATACTTCCTGTCTACTTAGAAGGAGCTGGGCCCTAGAGAAAAAAAGGAGATACAAAAGAAAAAAAAAAGATCCCCCCTGGAATAGGAGAAGTAGGCGTGTAACCAAACACATGGTGGTACAATGTGATCTGCATCCTACGTGGAGCAAACTGTCCTGGTCGCTCTGCTCCAAGGAACGTGAAGGGCCAGCTACGGCTGGCGCCCGGGTGATTGCATATCCACTTTACCAGGGATGCAGGCAGCCTGGGCTGTTTGAATGAGAGTCAGAGGACCCTCTGGGAACCAGCCAGCCAAAAAGGAAAGAGCCCTACTCCCAGAGCTCTTCCGCCTCAGTCTCTTTCCCCTTTATCTCTGCTTTTCTCCTTGTCCTTGGTCCCCCTTCAGCTTCTAGTAAAACGGAGGAATCTAGCTGCTGGGCAATCAACAAAGAAAGGGGATTGGCAGTGGGCTGTTTCTCCAAGAGAAGAGAGGAAGAGCTGTAATCACGTCTATTGTCATCACAGCCTGGTCTGATAACAGCTCATCAGGTTGAGAATCCCAGGAGTGGTGGGATCCCCTTCTCCTGGCCTCTCCTGTCCTGCTCAGATGCTGCAGCACAAACAAGTGCTGCTTTTCACGGGGAATGCATTTCATCCCCCCACTCCCCTGCCTGCCCGGGCTCCCTAAGCAGTGCTACAGAGCCACGTTCTGAATCTCTCACATGAGGCTGAGGCCACTGGATCTCCCCACTTCACAATCAAGTTCACTCAGCCAGGAAAGAGATATTCATCATTTCTCCCTGCTCTTCCCTTGGATGACATTCTGGTCCTGCAGGTTTCCATCTTGCCTTTGATGTTGTCCAGCCGTGCAGACATCCACCGGGGATGGTCTGGTTCTCAGTCAGATTGAGCATTGGTTTTGCCTTTCCTGGAGACACTTACCTTGTAAACCTCTAACACTGTGCTTGCCTGGGTGATGTTCCTCATTCCTCTCTGCTTAACCTCTTCAGGGAAGGTGACTCTATTACGACTTCCGCGCACAGCAATCACAGTAGCACTGTTCCTGAACCATGCTGGGACACGGGGAAGCTCTGAGACCGTAAATCTACACATGCCACATAACCATTTCTTGTCTGGGGTCTCACCTCTAGTCCAGAGGCAGTTCTACCTATGAAGTGGCCACAGGTGTTCTAGGACTTCACACCCCTCTGGACTCCTGAGAGTGGGAGGGTAGAGAATTCCTTCTTTAGGATCCACTGATGTCCCAGCTTTCACAATTTTCCCCCTGACTGTCTCCCTCCTCCCAGCCTAGAAAAAACTATATGTATATTTTATATATGTTTTTGGTTGGAGTTGAGGATGGGAGGTGGTAGTGAGCGTGGGGAGGGGAGAAAGGAATCTCCATCGTGTTTTTGCCCAAATCTTTTGCTTCAATTATGAGTCTATTCCATTCTCTTAAGAAGGATCCAAATAAGTAGATTTTTGAAATCAAAAGCCAGTAAGAGACTCCTTCTTGTTCCCCCATCCCCAGCCTTCTGCAGCCTCACCTCTTCCTGAAGAAAATGCAAAGAAAGGCCTGGTTGCTGCTGGATAATGGGGGACGAGAAGAAGGAGGTGAAAAAGGAAAAGTGGGAGGAGGGGGTCTCATCACTGAGTTGTGAAAAAAAGTCTGAATCTGTCATAATTATGTCAAGTCTTCCATTTGCTAAAGAATCTCTAGTGAGGTATTCCTGATGTTTCGGTTCTTTTTTGGCTTGTGGGAGGGTCCAATTGCCAAAGGGTGTGTCTCTCTTCCTTTTTGCCCTTTTTATCCACCAGAAGATATGCCATGCTCTATTCTAGTGGGACACCCTTTATTGGTTTGCATTTTCATGCTCTTTTGACAGCAGTTTTAGGTCAGCCTTAGGTTGGTCGCTGGCTCCCCCCTTCCTGTCCCCCAGTTTTTCCAGGCCAGCCCATGCCCACAGGAAAGCCTTGTGGTGAGGCAGGATGGGCAAGATTGCTCACTGGGTCCTTCTTTCTTTTCTTTTCTTCCTTTCCTCCCTCCCTCCCTCCCTCCCTCCCTGCCTGCCTGCCTTCCTTCCTTCTCTTACGTTATTTTGAAGCTTAGGCATTCCCTATCTTCACGTTATGCTGAGGGTGTGTTTTTTGTGTTGCTTTATTCTTTCATCTTGTTCTTGGTTGGTTTTGGAGGAAACATTGAGAGATGACGTGACATGGCAGGTGCCATCGTCTCCATGAGATGGAAAGGAGAGGTGTCCCCTGGAACTTGGGGATGAAGGGGACGAGAAACAAAAAGGGACCATTTAAGATTCTACAAGACAAAAAATAACCCCCCAAATCAGATGGCATATAACCCTCCCTTCAGCTCCAAAAAGAATCCACTAAAACCCTGGACATTGTTATACTGGTAGAAAAGGTGCCATTGAACTAGACATCTGGTAAACCACTCCCAGATCACTGAAATGAACAGGGGGAAAATGAATAAATCTATACGGAGTCATTATATAAATCAGAAAACTAGATTCAACATGCCTGAACTCATAAAAATTACTCCCTGGGCCGGGCATGGTGGTTCACACCTGTAATCTCAGCACTTTGGGAGGCCAAGGAAGGTGGATCACTTGAAGTCAGGAGTTGGAGACCAGCTTGGCCAACATGGCGAAACCCCATCTCTACTAAAAATACAAACATTGGCCAGGCGTGGTGGCGGGCATCTGTAGTCCCAGCTACTCAGGAGGCCGAGGCTGGAGAATCACTTGAACCTGGGAGGCGGAGGTTGCAGTGAGTTGAGATCGCGCCATTGCACTCCATGCTGGGCGACAGAGTGAGACTCTGTCTCAAAAAAACAAAAAACAAAAACAAACAAAATTACTCCCTGAAAAATCACCATGAGGCCGAAGAAAACTGTAAGACATTCCTCCAAACTATTTAAACAGACTAAAGCCAGCATTTGGGGATATGAAAAACCACTATGAACCAGAAATTCAAAAACTAAGAACAAAAATGGACAAAAGCAGAAACTTTCTGTATAGCTTTGACTTTTAGAATCATGTTAATGGTTCACATACTCAAAAAATAAATAATTCAAACCAATCTGGATGTGGAGGAATCCAAATGGGATACTAACAGTAACAAATGAACCTAACTCTATCACTACTGAAAAATATAACCACACCAAAGGGAAAAAACTAACATAAATAACGTAGGGAAACAGAATTTTGACTATATACTTCAAGGCTACAGATGAAAAAGAACTCTACACAAATACTGTCCTCTAGTTAGTAAATTTATTTTTCAAAGGGGATATGAGTTAGTGATGCTGAAGCTAGTAGGATTGAACAAATAAATAAATATATTGTGGATAATGAAAGCCAGGTTTCTTACTGTCAGAGAAAGACATTACAAATGAAAAAAGGGAATGCTAAAATGAGCCCTGAAACTGATTGATGGTAACCATATTAACTAATAGTTGTTAATAGGTATATAGATATTGGTACATGTACATATACATATTTTTTCTGACTATGCTAATAAGGTCTAGAAGCAATGACATTCCAGTAGCAATGAGCACAGCTAATATCTAGATGCTGGTTTCTAAACCATTCTCCAGTTAAAAAAAACCCTGTACCTCTTAGAGTAATGGGTGATTCCAGGGCTGGGGTAGGGAAACTCTAAGAAAAGACTGGAACAAGATTGTGATGCTAAATAGTGAGAAGTTCTCTATAAGGTGATGGGGGCACATTGATAGGACACAGAAGCCAACATGAAGGAGCTCCCAATGGCTAGATGTGGTCAATCTGAACAACCAAGTAAATAATGACAGTATTGGATTATAATTTGTAGAATAAAATACATGTCCATGAGTGTGTACTGATATAAATAACTGAATGATATGGTTTGGCTGTGCCCCCACCCAGATCTCATCTTGAATTCCCACATGTTGTGGGAGGGACCTGGTGGGAGGGAATTGAATCATGGTGGCAAGTCTTTCCCATGCTGTTCTTGTGATAGTGAATAAGTCTCACAATATCTAATGGTTTTAAAAAGAGGAATTCCCCTGCACAACCTATCTCTCTCTCTTTGCCTGCTGCCATCCATGTAAAATGTAACTTGCTCCTCCTTGCCTTCCACCGTGATTGTGAGGGTTTGCCAGCCACGTGGAACTGTAAGTCCATTAAACCTCTTTCTTTTGTAAATTGCCCAGTCTTGGGTATGTCTTTATCAGCAGCATGAAAGCAGACTAATACACTGAACAAAGAAATAAACGGAGGAGAAAGGACAGCTCTTACAGTAGAATTTGAATTAATTGTTATGGACTATTATCATTTTGGTATACTTTGGTCTTGATTTTTTTTCCCCTTAAATAATCTTTTACCTCCCC
This sequence comes from Homo sapiens, assembly GCF_000001405.40. NCBI lineage: Eukaryota > Metazoa > Chordata > Mammalia > Primates > Hominidae > Homo > Homo sapiens. The sequence continues at coordinate 77,960,162 of NC_000014.9, forward strand.
ATCTCCCTCACTGTAACATAGGCACTTTTCTTTCTGGTCTTAGAAACTTTTATATACATGTTTATTTCTCATCAGATAGATGTAATATACGATATAAGTCTTTTTAAACATAGATATTTCCCTCTATTCCAGAAATGCCAAAATTTAATCAAGTATATTTTTATCTTTTTTTTTTTAGATGGAATCTTGTTCCTGTCACCCATGCCGGAGTGCAGTGGTACGATCTCGGTTCACTGCAACCTCCGCCTCCAGGTTCATGCAATTTTCCTGCCTCAGTCTCCCTAGTAGCTGGAATTACAGGCCCAAGCAACCACACCCAGCTAATTTTTGTATTTTTAGTACAGATGAGGTTTTGCCACGTTGGCCAGGCTGGTCTTGAACTTCTGACCTCAAATGATCCACCTGCCTCGGCCTCCCAAAGTGCTGGGATTATAGGCGTTAGCCACTGCACTTGGCCTGGAGCAAGTATCTTTAATGCCATATTTGAGCTATATTTCCATTTAAAAAGTCCAATTCCTTCCAAAAAATAAAGAGTCTATATGACTATTAGGGACTAAATTGTGTTCCTTCAAAATTCATATGCTGAGGTCTTAACCCTATGTGAGTATATTTGAAGATAGGATCTTTAGGGACATAATTTAAGTTAAATGAGGACATAAGGGTGGGTCCCTCATCTGATAGGACTGATATCTTTATAAGAAGAGAAAGAGACATCAGAGAGCTCTCTCTGTCTCTGAGCACACACAGAAGAAAGACCCTGAGAAGACCCAGTAAGAAGGCAGCTGCCTGCAAGAAGAGAGGCCTCACCACACACCAACCCTAATGGCACCTTGGTCTTGGACTTTTGGCCTCCAGAACTGTGAGAAAATAAATTTCTGTTGCTTAAGCCACCCAGTCTGTGGGTAGCACAGACTCATGGTAGCCTGAGCCAACTAATATGGTGCTATTCCTCACTCCTATCCCTGTTGCCCATCAAGTTAAGATCTCGGCCTGATTTCAAGGCTCTCCAAATGGTCCACTCTACTTCTCCAGTGTCCACCTCCTAATACTCCCCGGGGATCGTCCTGCCCTCCATGAGGCCCATCTTCATGCTGCCTCCCTTATTCACCAAAGATGGACCTGCCTCTAGGCCTCTGGGTATGCGGTTCTCCCTTTCTGGGGTCTATTCCTCCACCGTCCAATCCCTCACACCCCATCTCCATGAAGTCATCTCAGACTTTCTGGTCCACACTACTACTGACCACCTCCAATTTCAGCCCTAACATACAGTCTGGCCAGAGCGTTAAACACAGAGCGGCTGTGTCTGGTAGTCTGCTAACCATAGTGTGTGTTAGTCTTATCTTTATAATCGCTTAGTTGTAACTTAACTTTTGATATCTCAGCGCCTTCTAGGAAGGAAGGAGAGGGAAATTGGACTTTCAAAGCTTCTACTCCTGTTGCCAAATATGTGGCAGAGGTGACACCACAGTCTACCCCTTGCTCTGAGTAGACAGCGCTAATTGATCATGGCACGCATCCATTAAGATGACAGCAAGAATAAGGAAAAACACCAAAAGATTCTGAATCCCATCTACCTTAGAGCTCCATGTAGCCTAGAGCTCCATGCAGCCTGGACTGGTTGGTCCAGGCTGATGAGATGAAAACTTGTTTGCTTTCCCTCTTTTGTGCTAGACATTTTGCAATACACTGATTCAACGTCATCCTCCCATTTCACATAGAAGGAAGCCCAGCTTTACAAGTAATTGTTACTGTCCAAGAGTGTATGGCTTGCAACTAAATAGTGGACCCAGGATCTTATCTCTGGTCTCTCTGAGATAACCTCTGTTTTCCTCCCCTCTATGCTGTGTTGTCTTCATTGGCAGGGCCAAATGACTTATACTTTTGTTGAACTGCTCCCTCTACCGTACGTGCAGTATCTAATTATACAAAGGGTTGGTTAGTAGGCACTGTTTTTTTCTTTTTTTTTTGACACAGGGTCTCACCCTGTTGCCCAGGCTGGAGTGCAGTGTGCAGTGGCGTGATCTTGGCTCACTGCAACCTCTGCCTCCTGGGTTCAAACAATTCTCTTGCCTCAGCCTCCCAAGTAGCTGGGATTACAGTCATGTGCCACCATGCCTGGCTAATTTTTGTATTTTTAGTAAAGACGGGGTTTCACCTTGTTGGCAGACTGGTCTCGAAATCCTGTTCTCAAGTGATCTGCCTGCCTCAGGCTCCCAAAGTGCTCAGCCCCTGCACCCAGCCGAGTGGGCACTCGTAAATCCTGCTTAGCAGGTGGTTCATCTGAACAATGCTTTCTGAATATGCCTTACTTGGTCCTCCTGCCATACGTTTAACTGTGCATGGCCTTCCTATTCCAAATCACTGCCTGTTTACATCTTATCCACCAGCCAAAGCTACCTCAGATCCCACCTGCTTCATGGAACCATTCCTGACTCCCTGTCACGCTTCTCCCCACACCAATAATGAGTATGACAGTTACTGGGGCTCAGAAAACAGTACTGCAAAGTGAAGGCCTTGGGAGTAACCTCAGAAGCAAAAGTTTTCTCTGATGTTCTCCTGCCCTCCTGTCTCTCCATCCCATTCTCTTCCAGGCCAGCTATAGAAACTAGAATCCCTCTTCCCCAAGGCGGGTCAGAGAAACCGGAACACTTTTTCTTGAAAGCCAGCCATAAAACCTAGAAATGTTCTGTGTAAAAACTGGTCATAAAGAAATTATGTGACTTACGTTTTTTGACTGCAGATTATTCCAGAGGTCTCATTCCAGAGAGGGCCTTACCCCATAACCAGAGGAAGAAATGCAGGCTCAGAGAGGCCAAGAAACATCTAGATAGACAGATCTTGCTGGGTTTCCCCTGTGTTTATTACCATTAGATCATAGTCTTTTCGTCCAATCATATTTCTACGGGGCTGTCCATACTTTGTTGAACCTGAGCATAAAAATGAACAATTTCCCCTGTATCTTTGGGTCTTCATTCTGAAGGCTCTTGTGTACACACATTAAATAAATGTGTGTGCCTTTTCACCAGCTAATCTGCCTTTTATGAGTTGATTTTTTAGCGAGTCTTTAGAGGGCCAAACCCTTGGCCCCTATCCTGTGCTCTCCTCTAAATGCCTGCACTCTGGGTGTCTGTCGAAGCGCATTTACTTCATTCCATTGTGTGTTAGTTATTCGTGTGCTTATCTCTTCCGGTGGATAGGGAGCTCTAAGAGGTTATGTTCCACATCTGAGTCTTCTCTGATTCTCCCACAGCATCTAGCATAGGATCTTAAACATAATAGGTGTTCAACAAATGTTTGCATGGAATTTGCTACACAGAGCTGGACTAAAATTCTGGTTCTGCTTTCTACCAGCTGTATGAGTCCTTGGGCAAATCACTTGCCCTTTTTATTCCTCTATAACATGAAAATAGTAATGGTCCCCACTTTCTACCCTCTTAGTGTTATTTGAATAAGGACTGAATGAGAAGAGGCACTTCAACTGCTTAGCACATTGCCTGGTACAAACTAAACACTTTAGATTGGCTATTATTATTATTACTATTAATATTATTGTTATTCATTCCCTACCTCAAAGAAACCTTTATCCTTGACAAATATAAGCTGTGATAAGAATGATTTAAGGAGACCTTATATTTCAATGTCAACAATTTTTCCTTTAATTCTTCTGGGTAGTATCAGTAACATTTTCTGGTTTCTTTTCTTTTTTTTTTTTAGACAGGTTCTTGCTCTGTCACCCAGGGTGCAGTGCAGTGGCAGGATCATGGCTCACTGCAGCCTCAATGTCCTGGGCTCAAGTAATCCTCCCACCTCAGCCTCCCTTGTAGTTGGGACCACAGGCATGCATCACCATGCCTGCCTAATTTTTAAAATATTTTTTAGACACAGGGTCTCCCTGTGTTGCCTAGGTTGGTCTTGAACTCCTGGGCTCAAGAGATCCTCTTGCCTTGATGTCCCAAAGTGCTGGGATTACAGTCATGAACCACCATGCCTGGCCTCAGTGTTGGTTTCAGATTCTGATTAAATTCCCAGTCCACTGCCTTGCAGGTACTAAGTAGATGCTTAATAAATGCCTGTTGAATGGATGATACTTCACGTTTTCAATCACAAGAAAACATGGCCATGTTTTTATTCATATTTCCTCTCTCTGTCTCTCACCCTTTAAGCAGAATTTAAACAGTTTTTAAGCAGATATAGAATGCATACTATTTTCTTTTGAGATGGAGTCTCGCTCTGTCACCCAGGCTGGAGTTCAGTGGCACTATCTCAGCTCACTGCAACCTTCGCCTCCTGAGTTTAAGGGATTCTCATACCTCAGCCTCCTGAGTAGCTGGGACTACAGGTGTGTGCCACCATGCCCAGCTAATTTTTGTATGTTTAGTAGAGACAAGGTTTCACCATATTGGCCAGGCTGGTCTCGCACTCCTGACCTCAGGTGAACTGTGTGCCTCAGCCTATATAACAAATTAGCAGTAACTCAGGGGCTTAAAATAGCACACACCTGTCTACAGTGTCTGTGGGTCAGGAGTTTGAGCACAGCTTAGTTGGGTCCTCTGATCAGAGAGGGTCTCACAAGGCTGCAGTCAAAGCTGACTGGATGTGCTCTTATCTGAGGTGCCAGGTTGTCTTCTGAGCTCATTCAGATTGTTGGCTGAGTTCATTTCCTTGTGGTTGTAGGATTGAGGTGTTCAGTTCCCTTTATTTTTTTGAGACAGAGTCTTGCTCTGTTGTCCAGGCTGGAATGCAGTGGCGCAAACTTGGCTCACTGCAACCTCCGCCTACTGGGGTCAAGCAATTCTCCTCTCTCAGCCTCCCGAGTAGCTGAGATTACAGGCGTGCGCCACCATGCCCAGCAAATTTTTGTATTTTTAGTAGAGACAGGATTTCACCAGGTTGGCCAGGCTGGTCTCAAACTTCCAACCTCAGGTGATCCACCTGCCTTGGCCTAAGTGCTGGGATTACAGGCATGAGCCATTGCACCCAGCTGGAAGCGTTCAGTTCCTAAATGCTGACCCCTCCATAGGCAGTTCACAGCATGGCTGCTTCTTCGAGGCCAGCAGGAGAGGGTCTCTCCAACCTCAGGAAGGACCCAGTTCCTCTCACCTGATTAAGCCAGGCCCACCCAGATAATCTCCTTTGATGAACTCCGAATCGACTGTGCAGCAAAATCTTTTCACTTTTGCTGGGTAACATAAGCCAATCACAGAGTGACATCCCATCCTATTCATAGGTTTGGCCCACATTGAAAATGAGGTGATTATACAAGATGTGTAGGGGTGGGGTGGGAGGGCAGTAGTGTGGGGATTTGGGGGGCCATCTTAGAATTCAGCCTTATCACAGGACATGTTTTCTACGTGTCTATTTCAGCCCAGCAGATATTTTTACAAACAGAAATTCCAAAATGTGTTTCTATACCTGAGTTGGTTAAATAAACTCAGAAAAGGTAGCACCATGTTGATGGTAATTCCTGACTATAGCACCATAAAGTCAATAATAATAATAGTTAGGTGCTAAGTACTTTAACATACTTTGTAAAAACGACATTCTAATTTTCACAACTACTGTACCTCATTTCACCAAGGAGGAAACTGAGGCACAGAGAGGCTAAGTACCTCGCTCTAGGAGGTGGCTGGGATGTGTGCAGTCCCACTCTGGGCTTGCTCTCCTAACTCCTGTGTCCTAAATATAGTTTAGAAAAATAGCATGCACCGGACAAACATGCATGTAAATGATTGAATGTGATGATGGTGACGGCACATTTTATGCCCATGCTTGATTTCTGTCTCTGCTCCCTCTCTCTCCCCCTTCCCTCTCTCCTGCTCTCTGACGTTAAATGCTTGGTTACTCAAGGCCGCAGTTACAGGATGTTAGGTAAACAGCCCTCCGTCCCTGCCCCCGCCCTTTTACTTTCAATACCGAGAAAATGGAACAGAACGTTAGGGAAGGAGGCTTCGCGGGCTGTGCCGGCGCCTGGCTCAGCCCCTCCCGGCGGCCACGGTCGGCTGCCCGGCTGCTCTGACCGCGAGCGGCTGGGTGTCGGTGCCCTGCTCTCCTCTGGGCGCCAGGATGTTCCTGCCCAGTGCGTGTCCAGAATAGCCGCTCAGACACCGGCTCCAGGTTCAGCCAGGCGGGGCGCGTCCCTGCCTCCCTCCCCTTTGCCTGCCACTGCCCTCCTTCTAACGAGGGCTCAGCTCCGACTACCCCAGGCCTCCGGGGACCCTCTCCGGATGCGCTCCCCGCTTTGCGCTTTGCGCTTTTTGCCTGTTCCCTGGGGTCGCGGAAGTCCCGCTTGCCCGGCCAGCGGGTACCACTCCCCTAGTCAGCCTAGGGAAGCTACACACACACACACACACACACACACACACACACACACACACACACACACACGTACACACTCTGTTCGCGTTCGCATACTATATATGTATTTTTTGAGAGTAGCTCTGTCGCCAAGGCTGGAGTGCAGTGGCGCGATCTTGGCTCACTGCAACCTCCGTCTCCTGGGTTCAAGCAATTCTCCTGCCTCAGCCTCCTGAGTAGCTGGGATTACAGGCGTCCGCTATCACGACTGGCTAATTTTTGTATTTTTAGTAGAGATGGGGTTTCACCATGTTGGTCAGGCTGGTCTCGAACTCCTGACCTCGTGATCCGCCTTCCTCGGCCTCCCAAAGTGCTGGGATTACAGCCGTGAGTCGGCCTATTTTTTGTTTCTGTAAGGAAATATGAGCTTTCCCATTTTTCACCCCGGAGAAACAAGCAGCTCTCACTTTTATTAATTTCTTCTGAGTTTACAGAAGAACTAGGTAGCCTGTTCCCACTCAGAAACTCATTCCACATGGTTTGGGTGGTCCTACCACTGCCCTCACCCGCGTCAACAAAGGAGTGGGAACCGAACTCAGGCCCTGCCCATCAGATCATCGAATTCCTCTGGCCACAGTGATTGGGTAAGGGATGATGCATGAGCTTATTTGCACCAATCAGAGACCTCCTGGAGACTTTCGTCCCCCAATTTCTGGGAAGAGGAGCTCCTTCTGGGGTTAACCTGGACTCAGGTTGCTGCTGCCTATTCTTACCCCTCTAGCTTGTGTGAGAAATGGCTTGTGTGAGAAATGGCAATAGAGGCAGAGCCCTGGTGACATCATTTGAGCTCCTGGATCCTGCTATGCCTGAAGCCTATTTATTGTTGCACTTTGGGGGTTATATAAATCAATAAGTCATGTCCCCCCACTCCCCACCCCACTTTTGTGCTTAGGTTGTGATCAGTTAGGATTCTGCACTTGTGACTGAAAAATCCTTGTACAGGAACCAACCTTCTGGAAACTTCTCCCATGTGTCAGGTACTGTTATGTACTTTAAATATCTGTTTCAATCTGCTGTCTAAGGACCTGTGTCCTAAAGAGTTTAGTCCGTATCTTGTGTGGCAGACATGATTACCTGTCTTACAAACTGGGACACAGAGGCTCAGACAAATAAGTAGATTTCTTATGAACATATAACAAGTGGCAGAGGAGACATCCTGTGCTTTCTGCCATGGCCTCTGGTAACACTCACCATTTTTGCTGTTCAATGGTATTTGGGTTCATACCACTTGGCAGCATTATTCTACTTTTTATATGAACTTACATGTGACCAAACCATCTGAATTGGAAGATCCTTGATGACAAGGACCACAACCTGTGCTCTGTTTGCTGTCCCCACTGCCATCACCATCACACAGGCCCACAGCACCTAGCACTGGATGAGACACATCACAAATCCTGGACAAACTCTTGCTGAAACCATGACATGTCGATGGCCCTTCACAGAAGACTTCACAAAAGGCTTCCCATAACCCTATTAATGGAAAAAGGTGACGTGGGCAGAGTATGCAGTTGTACCTGTTGAAATAAACATGCTCTTTGCAACGATCACAACCCAATTATTCTTTCCAGGAGCTGACCCCAGGGAGTCATTCATTCAATATCAATATCAATCCATTCTTGTTTTTTTTCCTTTTTTGGAGAGAGTGTCTCAGCCTGTTGCCCAAGCTGGAGTGCAGTTACGTGATCGTAGCAGCTCACAGCGGTCTCGTCCTCCTGGGCTCAAGTGATCCTCTTGTCTCAGCCTCCTGGATAGCTAAGACTACAGGTGTGTGTCACCATGGCCGGCTAATTTTTAAAAATGTTTTGTAGGCTGGGTGCGGTGGCTCACGCCTGTAATCCCAGCAGTTTGGGAGGCTGAGGCAGGCCGATCACGAGGTCAGGAGTTCGAGACCAGCCTGGCCAGCATGGTGAAACTCCTTCTCTACTAAAAATACAAAAACTATCCAGGCATCGTGGTGGGTGCCTGTAGTCCCAGCTACTCAGGAGATTGAAGCAGGAGAATTGCTTGAAGCTAGGAGGCGGAAGTTGCAGTGAGCGAAGATCGCGCCACTGTGTTCCAGCCTGGGCAACAGAGCGAGACTCCATCTCAAAAAAAAAAAAATTGTTTTGTAGAGATAGGGTCTCCCAACGTTACCCAGACTGGTCTCAAATTCCTGGGCTCAAGCAGTTCTCACTTGGCCTCCCAAAGTGTTAGGATTACAGGCATGAACCACCGTGCCTGGCACCATCCACTCACTATTCATCTTAAATTCAACAAATGTTTTCTGAATATTCATCACATACCAAACATATTGCAAGACTGGGATACTAAGATATGAATAAGATATGGCTCCTTCCCTCAATGATCTTGTTTGTAGTTGCCTTTTAATTACTCTGAAGCAAACTTCCCAAAGCACTGGCAAATTGCTGTTAGAACTGTTGACTATCTCCTGGATGGTCCATCATTAAGGCTCAAGCATTGTCCAGGAGAAGAACATTAGCTCTCATATTGGTCTTTATCAGTCAGCTGGGCCCATTTCAACCAACAGGACTGCCACAATGCACAACTCCAGGGAGCATCATTCACATAGACTAATGACATTCTCAGAAGTTGAACAGTGCACAGTCTACGGCTGTAAATGGCAGCCCTGAGAACACAAACAGCACCCATTAATGCTATCCCCTCACATTCACAGTCACATTTGTGGAGCACTTTACAGTTTATAAGGAATTTCACCTACATTATCTCAGTTGAACTGAGAAATTCTATTTTGTTTCCCATAATGTAGTCTCTCTTCACTGCCCTTCACCCCATGAGACTCTCTGTTGGCTCCATGAGCTCCCGGAGGCCCCTTCTCAGATGGTGATGGCCCAGCTGAACTAGCGACAATTACCAAGCACCAAGTTACATTACAGCTCTAGGCTTTCGTCTACCCTGAAGCATTTACCTGGAATTAGCAGTGGTCGCAGCTCGGCAGAGGTGACTGTGCTGGTGATTATGAACGCATTCCTTGTTTGTCTTTTCAGCCCTGAAATCCTGTCAGTGAGGAGAAGTGATAATACCATGTTATTAAGTTCTTTCTGGGTAATGTAATTCAGGAGTCAGGAGGCAGTTTGGTCATTTATGTCTCTGAAAAGCTTAGAATAATTTCCAGTGTCATTATCCCCCATTTTAAAGAGCCAGGCTCCAATATGTGAATGTGTGTATAGGCATGTACACCTAAGCACGGGCATATGGCCAGATGTGTCCATAAACCAACACAAGCTTCAACTTATTTATAGATCCGTGTATATGCACGAAACTCTGCCTTTTTAGCGTCATGGCTTCCTAAATCTAGGTTTTCAGGAATTAAGTTTATTCCTAGCCTTTTCCCTGGCATGTTGTGGAGTCTACATTTTTGCTTGCCATTATCATAATTGTTACACAAAAAGAATGAGCACACTGGTTATAAACACATCTGTGAGGTGAGTAGTGCCAGCCTTTATGGACAGCCTTTCAGTCACCCAGTTCTCTTTATAACTCCTCCTTTCTAAGTAATTTTCTTAGAGCTTCTGCTTCTCCCAGAAAAGGCCTTTCTAGCAGGCACTGGTTATGTGTTTATTTTTCCTTTAACACATTGTACTGGTAACTCAGATACTTTAGGCAGGAAAGGTATGTCTATGATATGCACTTATCTCCCTTGTTAATGGAGTTGGCACCTTGATTGTCGATTGTGGAATTTCCAAGCTGGAAGGAACCTGTGAGATTATGTGAGCCAGCTGTCTCTCTGCACAATGAAGAAAGGGATGCTTGGAGCAGGCAATAAGTAGTTCAAGGTCCTTAGAGTTAGTGGCATAGCAAGGATGAGAAACCAAGTCTGCTGCTCCTACCCCGAGAGCTCTCTCTGTTATCATGGTTCAGTCCCTTGGAAGACCGCTTTGCTTCGCTCCTGGTATGCTCTTCCTGTTTTCTTTTATGAGCATGGAGATGGTAACTGGAGACTGGACCTGGCATAACCCTCAGATTCTGGAGAGCTTTGTAGGCCATTGCAAGAGCTGGCTGTTACTATAATATCAGATTCCAATGAAGGACTGTGATCGGACATGTCACATAGTGACATGATATGACATGCTTTAAGGAAATCATTCCAACAGCTGTGTTAAGAGTAGATTTAGGTGACGAGAATGAAAGTAGGGAAGACAGTTGGAGGCTGCTACAATAAGCTGGGGACCATAGTGGGGCTGTGGACATCATGTTCTAGATGAATTTTAAAGGTAGAGCCAATGGATTGCTGAGGATTGGATGGGGAGAGAGGGGTGCTGAGATAAAGAGATGAGTCAGAGTCTTGCTAGTTTTGTGGCCAGGGTGACTGGTAAGGCGGTGCTGTGCTCACTCGGAAACACCCTCAGAGACACATCCAGAGATAACATTTAATCTGGGCATCCCTTGGCTCAGTCAAGTTGACACAAAATTAACCATCACTAGGTACTAGTAGGCATTCCAAAGAATCCTCTGGGTTCCAGATGTACTCCCTCAAGTCACCACTGAGTAGCATCAGTCAAAATTTCCCTTGACCAGGCCGGGTGCGGTGGCTCACGCCTGTAATCCCAGCACTTTGGGAGGCTGAGACGGGCAGATCACGAGGTCAGGAGATTGAGACCATCCTGGCTACCACGGTGAAACCCCGTCTCTACTAAAAATAGAAAATATTAGCCAGGTGTGGTGGCAAGCGCCTGTAGTCCCAGCTACTCGGGAGGCTGAGGCAGGAGAATGGTGTGAACCCGGGAGGCGGAGCTTGCAGTGAGCCGAGATAGCACCACTGCATTCCATCCTGGGCGACAGAGCAAGACTCAGTCTCAAAAAAAAAAAAAAAAATTTCCCTTGACAATTAAGATCAGTCAGAACCGAATTCTGCCTCCAACCTTAAAGAGGTTGGAAGAGGACTCCGAGCTCCAAATGAAAATGTAGGCCAGGCGTGGTGTCTCATGCCTGTAATCCCAGCACTTCGGGAGGCGGAGGCGGGTGGATCACATGAGGTCGGGTTACATGAGGTCGGGAGTTTGAGACCAGCCTGGTCAACATGGTGAAACCCTGTCTCTACTAAAAATACAAAAATTAGCCAGGCATGGTGGTGCATGCCTGTAATCCCAGCTACTCAGGAGGCTGAGGCAGGAGAATTGCTTGAACCCGGGAGGCGGAGGTTGCAATGAGCCATGATTGGGCCACTGCACTCCAGCCGGGTTGACAGAGTGAAACTCCCTCTCAAAAAAATAAAAAAAAGAAAATGTAGCTGCCAACACCCAGATTTTAGCCTTATGATAGCCTAAGCGGGAACCTAGCAATGCCGCGCCTGCCTTCTGACCTATAGAACTGTGAGCTAATAAGTAGGTGTTGCTTTAAGCCACCAAGTTTGTAGTAATTTTTTGCATAGCAATAGAAAACCAACGCACATTCAGAGATCAGAAAGCTATAAGAACTAAATGTTCTAAATTAGTATCATTAATAATAGGACAACTAGACATTATGTGCCTGCTGATGTGATATGAAATCCAATAGGAAGTTCATAGCATCATTTAAAGTATTTGATCAATTGCATTAAATCTGAATTAAACCAAGTTTTTAGATTACATGACTATATGCATTTATCAAAACAAATAAAACTGTAAACTAAAAAGGATGAAGTTTACCATGCCTAAGTTTTACCTTAGTAAACCTGGCTTTAAAAAAAACAAGCCATTAGATCTACCTCAATTTGTAGAAGATACTAATACTGCTTAAATGAGAGCATGAGAAAATAGATGTATTTAGAATGTGGGATATGCTACATGACAGTGGGCCTGATGTCTTCAAAGACTCAATGTCATTAAAAAAATGATGAAGGGGGATTGTCCTATATTAGGCAAGACTTAAGAGACATAATAAATAAACTCACTGTATGAAACTTATTGGATTCTGGTTCCAAAGAAAAGCTATAAAAGACATTTTTAGGACAATTGTAGAAATTTGAATATAAAGTGAGTTTTGGATGATATTAGGGGACTATTACTATTTTTGTTAGGTATAATTCTGGTATTGTTAATTGGAATTTTTTCTCTAGGTTTTGGAGATACATGTTGAAGTATTTAGGGGTGAAGTGTCATGATGTTTTTAATTTACTAAGAAATGATTCAGTTACAAGGCAAAAAATGGCCAAATATTAACAATGGCTGAGACCAGGTGGATGGTACATGAGTGTTCATTGTATTCTTCTCTTTTGTTTCCTGAATGCTAAAATGGAAATTCCATTAAATCAAACAAACAAACAAACAAAAAACAGGTGAAAGCTGCTGCAGGATCCTCATAGCTGATTTACAGCCTATAGCTCCAAAGTAGGTGATGAACTGAGGAATATGGAGCCCAGTTGCCACTCCACAATCTCAGGTCTGCTGAAGCCAGCCACACCTACTACTGCTGCTGTGGATGAAGGGCTTCTGCCTCCCTTCCACCTTCCAAATCATGCATGAGTGACTGACCAGACTGTACGTAGAACCCTGCTGGCCAATGGCATCTAACACAGGGTAATGGCGCTTAAGCTGCTAAGCCCCTCACTTGCCTCTAGAAACCTCTCCCATGGCCTTGGGAGGGCCTAGCAAAGTATCACATGGTCGTATGCTTTTGTAACCATCTTTGCAAGTTGAAAGTATATTTCAACTGCAACTATTAAGACTGCTGTCTGTTTCTACCCTAATTTTCCCTGTATCGTACTTTCCTTATGTTGGATTGTATTGGAAGAGCCATGGGAATTTTTGGGATCCAGCTAAGAGGAAGTTGAGCTGGGATGCATTTAGCCGGTGTTTGGCGGGTGTTTCTGTAATTTGCGGTTATTTGCTAGTCATTCTCTCATAGGAATGGTTCTATGAGTACCTCTACTGCTTACAGTGCCAGCTCACCTGGCTTTATGACACAAAAGCGCAGGGCGAGAGGTCAGATCACAAGAAGAATGTGTTCTATGTACAGCATCAGAAGTATGTTGGTAGTGGAGGAGGAAAGAGATTAAAATGCATGATCTGGAAACCAGTCTGTGTAATATTCTTCCACTTATCAGTTGTGTGAAATTCTAAGTAGACAATTTGCTACTCATTGATGCCTAGTCAAAATGGAAGCTTTTTCCTGTGAGAAATATGCCCAGTAGTTTAGCTTATACACTTATAAATATACCAGTTTTTTAAATGGGCATCATGAATTATAGAGTTTATCAGAATTCTTATATTTGTAAGGCACAAACCTGTCACGATACTATAAACAATGAATGTCTCATATGTTTTATACGTAACAGCTGTCAATAATAAAAATAATAAGCTATGCTAGAGGAAAACATCAATTGTCTTTCTATTTCTTCTCCAGAAGATAATATTGCAAAATCTTGTCCTGTGAAAAAGTGATCAAAGATAATATAACCCCCAAAGTGTGGGAAAAAACCCTATTATAAAGGTATATTGAGCAGCTGAATAAATATAACATTATTTTTCCTGGATTTTGTGATGTTTGTAGTCTTACAGCTTTTTAAAATTTACAATATGTTGTGATTTTTTTTCTCATTCCATATAACTATTTGCAATTTTGTATTTTGTTATTCGGTTGGTGCAAAAACTCCAATTACTTTTGCACCAACCTAATACTTAAAAAAGGCTTCTGCAGTTGTATAAACTTTGGATAGAGAATGGCAGGGCAAAAGGATAGAATTCTTGTCCCTCATGACATTGGGAAGCCTCATGGCAGCCCTGGATTGCCTACCTCCAGACTCCTTTTATTTGAGGGAGAAATAAACCTCTTTCTTGTTCAAGTGACTGTTATCTTGCCTTTTCTGTTGTGAGCAACCGAACAGAATCCTAACTGATATATGTATTTGTCCTTTGACACGGCAATACCACTTCCAGGAATTTGCCCTGCAGGTATTCGGGCACATAGGCAAAATGATGTATGGTCAAGGTCATTCATTGCAGCAAAAGATGAGAAACAATCTATATGTCCATCCATGGGGACAGGTTAAATAAATTATGCATATCCACAGTGAAATAATATGCATCATATATTAGGAGGAAGCTTGTTGTATTGATACAGAATTATCTCTAATGCATATTGTTAAAAGAAAAAGTAAATGCAAAATAGTGTGAATGCCGTGCTAATATATATATATAGTGTTGTATTCCTCTCTCTTATTTCCTGCATGCTAAAATGGAAATTCCATTAAATCAAACAAACAAACCAAAAATAGGTGAAAGCTGCTGCAGGACCCACATAGCTAATTTACAGTCTATAGCTCCAAAGTCGGTGATGAATTGTGGAATACGGAGCCCAGTGGCCACTCCACAAACTCATATCTGCTGAAGCCAGCCTCACCCTCTACTGCTGCAGTGGAAAAAGGGCTTCTGCCTCCCTTCCACCTTCCAAATCATGCACAACTGATTGATCAGACTGTATGTAGAACCCTGCTGGCCAATGGTGTCTACCACAGGGTAATGGCGCTTAAGCTGCTAAGCCCCTCACTTGCCTCTAGAAACCTCTCCCAAGGCCTTGGGAGGGCCTAGCAAAGTATCACATGGTCATGTGCTTTTGTAACCATCTTTGCAAAAGTTTATTTCAACTGCAACTATGAAGACTGCTGTCTGTTTCTACTCTGATTTTCCCTGTGTCATACTTTCCTTATGTTGGATGGTATTGGAAGAGCCATGGGAATTGAGCCAAGCACATATATATGTGTGTGTGTGTGTGTGTGTGTGTGTGTGTATGTGTATATATCTATATATATATCTATATATCTATATATCTATATCTATATATATATATATATGCTTGAATATGCATTAAACATCTCTGGAAGGACCTGCAGGAATTTAGTGACATTGGTTGCCTCTTGGGGCAAGTGAATGGCTGAGGACAGGACTGGGAGGAGGAGTTTTCACTTTTGAATAAACGGTGAACTTTTAATCTATTTTAAAGTAAAAGTAAAATGAAAACCAGAGAACATTTTTACATTTAATACCTGTAGAGCAAAACCCATTATTTTCTTTTAAAAAAAACCCTTCTTTGTATTTTTAAATTTATTTTTCATAGAGACGAGGTCTTGCCATGTTGGCCAGGCTGGTCTCAAACTCCTGGCCTCAAGTGACCCTCCTGTCTTGGCCTCCCAAAATGTTGGGATTGTAGGCAGGAGCCACTGCACCGAGCCTCTCTTTTTAGATTAAAGAATAAATAAATAAGAATCCCTTAACTCACCTACCTGTGAAGATGGATGCCCTATGTGTGGCTTTCCCAGGACAATCTGTTTATGCCTCATCTTCTGGTGTAATTATTAATAGTGCCTCACTTCTCTCTCAGCAGTTGGATGATAAACTATCTGGTTACCCTACCTGTTAAATACATCACAGCCCATGAGAAGTCCAGTCCAGCCAGTGATGAAACAGATGCCTGATTCTTTGCCTGATTGCTGGATGCAGTAGTGCCTTGAGCTTAGGGACCCTTGTATGGAGAAAAAAATGTGTGTTTTCAATAATAAATGGATGTCAGTGAGGTGGGCAATGATCACACCAAGAGAGGTACATGGGAACTGGAAAATACTGAAGATACACAAGTTTCACCTTTGCTATCTCAGGTCAATGCTGGGGCATTGCTTACTGAAAGGAATGGTAGATGAATCACTGTGTTATTTAGCTGATTGCTTTCTCTCTCTCTCTCTCTTTTGCTGTTTAATGCATGCACAAATGTTACATGCACTTATGTCATGACTGAACTCTGCAGAACTTACTGTGCCACGTTGGCATTCTGCATTTGCCTCTTGACTCTGAACTCTTGTCTGAGTTTTCCTGTGTCCCAGCAACAGTCACATTTACTAAATGTTTGCTGAATGAATGCATGAACCCCATGGAGACCTAGGCTGACATCTGGTCCTCTCTTCTGCACAGAGTCTGACTGTCATGGGTATCATCATCTTTGAGACTGTAATCTTTATGAAGGCAGAGACTAGGTTTACTTGAATGAGCAAAGTAACCCCAATGCAGAGTACTATGTCTGCTACATAGCAAGTGCTAATAAATATCAGTTCAGTAAATAAGTGGGTGAATAAATGAATGAATGAATGAATAAATGTTTGCATCAGTCACCTGAGGACCAATTGCACACTAGTCATTCCCTTTGCAAGTCTACCTGGCCCTGGCATGTAATGACAGAATATAGAGGAAGATTTCATGGAAGATGTAGGGTCAGGGACCTTCTTGAATAAATACAAAGTGCCTTACCCACTGTCGGGGCTTCCTATATAGCTCAGCAAAGAGCCTTCTGTGCCTGCAGTTTTTTTTTTTAGAGCTTCTCTTTCCAACTGCCACATGCATGATGGATGATGTTCCCATGTCAGGGAATATACTCCCGTGGGGATACTCAAATTTTGATAAAGTCTAAAAATACTGGGAGAAAGAAAATGCTATACTACTTTCTAAATGCCACAACTATTAATAATACACCTGTCATAATTACTCACTTGGATGTGCCATAATCAAAATGGGTTGTGGGTTATGCAGTTACCAGTGAACTAGCTGTCATGCCATCCTCTTGCTTCCACTCAAGAATACGTGTCAAATCCAAGTGACTGTGGGGTTTTAGAGAGGATCTTGAATTCACTCTAGTTTTCCAAAAAGCAGCTAATGCCCAAATTTTAGTTCCTTCGCTGTTAATAGTAACAAATTACAACTGGGACACTCTAAGGCAGAGAACCACCCATTCTTTGGTTAGTATTGCCTCTTTAGACATCCACTTTAAAACTGTAAATGCTCTAAAGAAATACACCCTACAGGACACACCACTAACTCCCTATCCACTTCTCTGCATAACAATGGGTGTGTGTGTGTGTGTGTGTGTGTGGGTGTGTGTGTGTAAAAGAGAGACAGAGAGAGCAAGAGAGTCAGTCTGAGAGAGGGGAGAGAAGTGGGGGTAGGGTTGCTAGGAAGGAGATGGAGCTTGATTTCTAATACTTTCACCTATGAACTGTGTGGCCTTGGGCAAGTCACTTAACCTCACTAAGCCTCAGTTTCCTCATAAGTAAATGGGGCTGATAATAAAAGTACCTACCTCATAAGATTGTTGCAATAAAACCAATATAGTGCTTACCTTAGTTCTTGGCACATACTAAGCCTTCAATACATGTGGGCTATTTTTTTTTTCTGTATGTTTGCTCATTCTTCTGATACACTGAAGACAAAGTATAAGAAGACTGGTTGGGACACTTCCTAGTCGTCATTGACAATCTGCCATTCAGTTTGGGCTGAGGCTTATTTCTGGGACAAAATCCAAAAGAATGGGCAGAACCTTGTACGGTGTCAATGAGGGAGGCTTGCTTTTATTGTCCAAGTCACATGTGGTATGCACAGACTCTCCTGGGGACACTGAGCTTTTTTGAGGAGCCCTAAATGTGGGAATAGGGCAAGAGTTTGAGAGGAGTTGTTGGAATCCAAAGCATAAGTTCTAGAAAGCAGGAGTCTCCCTAGAACAGTCTTTTGTGGGGAGCAAGAAAGGAGAAAGTGTTAGGTTCCAAAGAGAGGGGTTTGCCATCCTATGAGTCACTGATTGCTGGTGCATAGCCTGGAAGCCCTCTCCCCTGGAACAATGAGCTTCAAATGGCTAAGGGCAGTGGCTTGAGAGGCTGTGCCTATAGCCCTATCTCAGTCCATTCCGGCTGATATAACCAATTACCATAGACTGGGGGGCTTAAACACCAAACATTTACTTCTTACAGTTCTGGAGGCTGGGAAATCTGAGCTCAGGATACCAGCACGGTTGGGTTGTGGTAAGGGCCCTCTTCCAGGCTGCAGACAGCTGCCTTGTATCCTCACATGGCAGAAAGAGAGCTCACTAGCTCCATGGGGCTGCTTATGAGGGCACTAATCCCATTCATGAAGGCTCCACCTATGTGACCTATTACCTCCTGAAGGCCCCATCTCCAAATACCATCACACTGGGACTGGGGCTTCAACACATGAATTTTGGGAGACACAAACATTCAGTCCACTGCAAGCCTACAATGGACCACCTTGAGGCTCAGATTAGCAAGCCATGAGCTTAGAGTTTGGAAGCTTGTCACTAATCGTAGGCCCTTCACTAGGCCAAGGGGCCTGTAGCCTTGGTCTTCTCACCTGTGAAATGAGAGAATGGATGGTCTCTGAGCGTCCTTCCATTTCTGACATTCTGTGGCTGGGAGATGGTGAAGGAGAGAGATACGCTTTTGATGACCTGACCTTTCTGCATCTTCCTGTTTCTCCTTCTTGCCACTATTTCCAGGCCCTAGGGACATTCCTGATGCTACCAGATGGTCTAGGACTCCAAAATTTGTGGTCATCTCAGCCTTAGTGCTGTCCAAGTACTGGTCATTGTGAAATTTTCCTCCTTGACTGCCTCTCCTTATCCACTCATGAGGATGAGTTTCTCACTTCTCGTCTCATCTTTCAGTCACGACAATGGTGGCATTAGTTCGTTCATTATCATTCCAATGTTTTCTGAGCCCTAATGGGGCACCAAGCATCATGCTAAGGGCAGAGGGTACAGTGGGCATTGGGTTACAGAGGCATAGACCTGTGCTGATGGAGTCCGTATGGTGGTGACAGAATCATCCGGTGACAGATACGACGAGCAAGGACTGAGCTCTGTGGGGGTAGTTATTAGGGGATGTTAGATGGGGGAGGGGCAGGACAGGTACAATGACTTTGAGGATGGGATGCTGAAGCTGAGACTTAATGGTAGATGGACACCCTCAGTTCCATGAGGGCAAAGATTTTTGACTCTTTTTTGCTGCTGTATCCCAGTGCCTTGAACAGTTGGCACTCCATGAATAGTTGCTGAATGAAAGAATACATTGAGTCGCACAACTGAAGTCCCTGTGGCATGAAAGAAGCTGAGATAAGGCCAGTGTCTCTGCAAGGCTGTCTTCTGGAGGCTCAAAGCAGCAAAGTTGAAGAGACGAGGCTGGGTAGGGGGCTGGCCTCGTGCGGATTTCCCCAAACGCAGACACTGAGACACGGAGTGGGGTGCAGGTGGTTGTTATTTGGGAAGCACAAGTGAGGAAATGTGAGAAAGGAGGAGAGAAGACAGAAATGCCAGTAAATAAAGGGCAGATTAATGATGGGTTGCCGCTGTGGGCACCTGGGGCTGAAGCCCACTTTGTGGAACGTGAGGGATAAGATGGGGTATTTATCTATTGACTCTTGCTCCTGTGGGTTGAGGAGCGTCCCTGGGGGTGTTAAATCCCTAACCCTTGTGGGCTGCCCTGCTTAGAGGCTGAACAAGCTCCTGTGGTGCTGGAAAACGCCCTCAAGTGGAGGAGCACTAGAGGTGGGAGCTGCCCCCTAGGGGTCTCAGTAATCCTCCGCCGCAGCTGCAGATGAGCTCAGAAGAGGGTGGAGGAGGTCTGGGGCGGGCATCAACAGTGGCTGCTGCAGAGGTAAGCAGGGCACCAAACAAGAGAGGGTGGTGGCTTTGATTATGGTGGTGGCATTGGACGGGGAGAGAAGTACACAGATTTCAGGTACTTTTTGGATGTGGGAGGTGATCAACAATAAAGAGTCCTCCAATAAAGAGAAAGCCCTTTCTCCTCCAGCCCCCACTTTTATTCCACAAATATTTATTGCTGTGGTTTGTGGTTGGGCTTCCTGGGAAGCCAACTGAGACAGAGTTTGTTGCGCAGGCTGTTTGAGGAGTTCGGGACAGATTTAAGAGTGCACAAAGGGAGACCATGCAACAGCCTCAGCTAACCCCACAGAACGCTCGGGAGCTAGACGTGCTCCTCAAAGTTGTTCGGAATTGGAAACAGATGCTGGACCTCCATCAGTCCAACCTGGGGAGGATGCCGTGACTTGGGCCAGGCAGCTCTCTTCAGCGGAGGCAACGCTATTATAGCGTCCACCACAATGCTGAAGGATCTTTTGTATGTCAGGTACTGTTGTAGGTGCTGGGGGTGTTAGAAGGGGCCAGGTGAGAGAGAGGCAATAAACAAACAAATATGTACCATCAGGTAGTGCGAAGTGCAAAGCAGAAGACAAAACAGGGTTAGTTGAATGATGGCTGGACTGGGAGAAGGAAGGTGGGGGTGGTAGTGAGGGAGGCTTAGAAGACAAGAGCAACAGGACCCTGACAGTTTAGGGGCGGGGCATCCTCTCTGCACTGGGCTCCCTGGGAACTGCCCCTTGTGCGTGGTCCCATCTTTTGGCCACAGTTGCTGGCCTCTTTGCAGGAGGTAGAGGCAGCCCCTCTTCTCCCTGAATAAATTTGCTTTGGTGTTGACCTGCAGCCTGGGGTTTCAGGAGTTAGGAAATAGTGCGACAGGCGGAGCTGGAGGTTAGCGCGTCTTCGAGCTGTCGCCTTCCACCCAGAACAGCTGGCCCTGCCTCGGGGCTGACTGTTAACCCTAGGAGGTGGGTGGATTGGCAGGGAGGTCGGCTGGGCCCAAGTCAAGGCCGGGCTGTGTGTGCGTGTGTGTGTGCGCGTGCGTGTTCCTGTGTCCGCGCGCACGCGCTCCTGCGTACTCGGCTGCCACGCGCTTCCTCCGCCCCTTTCACCTGGGCAGGTGCCTGCAGGGGCTATCGCGCCGCCCCAGATTGGGATCCGGGGAGGGCAGAGGCTCCCTCAGCCAGGCCTGGGCTCCGCCTGCTGCCCTCCCCCAGCCCAGGCCCTTGTGGTTGCCAATGAAGGCCGAGAGCCCTAGCTGCGGGGGCAGTCCCGCTGGGTGTCTGCGCCGTCCACGGCCCGGGAGCGCAGGAGCAGCCTCCACCTGGGCAAAGGCTCGGCGGACCGGCGGGCAAGCGGCCCTGGAACAAACTCAGCCCGCCTGCGGTTCCCAGGAGCAGCGGCTCCCGGGCGGTCTCGCCGCTCTCGGCAGGGCAGGGCGCAGTCCAGGGGCCCCTAGAAACTCGCCTTGTTCTCAGCCCACGAGGAATTTAGCATTGATAAAGCCTCAAAAAAAAAAAAAAAAAAAAAAAAAAAGCAACCAATTCCGCCCCTCCGTCGCCCCCCCAAAAACCTGAATCATCTGGCCACCATCCCCGCTGTTTCCCACCACTGGTGGGCTTCCTGGTGACTGCAGAAATGAGGCAGTGGCAGGGCTGAATGAAGACCCTTGGAGGCCTCATCACTGAGACAGGAATGGCGCCCACAATACGAAATAAAAACAGCACTGACTCGGAAAATAAGTGTCAGGAGGACAACAAAAGTTCTGATTTTGGGTGAGGATGAGGGGTGGTGGGCTGCTTTGCTGCTGTCCCTCCCAAGCCAGAGCTCCTAAGCAGCCGTGGATTGAAGGTCCCTGCTCTTTTCCCCCTCAGGCTTTTGTATGGCTGTGTTGCCAGATTTAGCAAATAAAAAAGTACGGGGCACCGGGTTACGTGTAAATTTCAGATAAATGAACCCTTTTATTTTAGCATATGGAAGCCTTATGCATTTGAAACATAGTAAAATAATTCATCCTTTATTGAAAATCAATGAAATTTTTAGTATAAAAATTTAGTATATCTTAAATAATGCATGGGATATACTTACATTAAAAAATCGGTCATTTATCTGAAATTTATATGAAATACAAATTTAATTGGGCATTTGAATTTTATCTAGTAACCCTACTTGAGAGTCAGCTGTCTTGGCCCCTAGTGTCCATAGAGCCAGGAAGGGTGGGCAGAGCCCTCAGGTGCCCCCTCCCCCCATCCCTGCTTTTTTTTGAGACAGGGTCTGGCTCTTTCACCCAGGCTGGAGTGCTGTGGCCGAATCTGGGCTCAAGTGATCCTCCCACCTCAGCCTCCCCAGTCGCTGGGACCACAGGCACGTACCACCACGCTGGGCTCATTTTTCTATTTTTTTTTGTAGAGATAGGGTTTTGCTATGTTGCCCAGATTGGTCTCGAACTCCTGAGCTCCAGTGATCTGCCTGCCTCAGCCTCCCAAATTGCTGGGAGTATAGGTGTGAGCTGCCGGGCAGCCCTCAGGCCTTTTCCATCCCACCCCACTGCCAGCACTGAGAGTGCTCCCTGAGCTGCTTCTGAGTCAGGTTTTGCCCAGAGGTTGGTGAAGGGTGTTGAATCAGGAACCAAAGACCTGGGCTCCGAGGCTCTGCTCTTTCAACACTGAGTGAGTTAGCCTTTCTGAGATCAGCTTCCTCATCTTTAAATGGGTGAATAGCAGGTGTGAGGCCTGCCAGGTGAATGTGTGGCTGGCACACCATCCATCCTAGTACATTCAGCCTGTGCATTTTAAAAAGCAGAAAGCAAGGGTCTCAAACTCAGATGCCTATGGGTGCTGAGGAGTTAAAGGAAATGAGAGCAACTCCCTAAAGGGCATAAACCATGGAGTGGGAGTACCCAGCTGTGATCCAGATCCAGCTCCAGCTAGCTATTACCGCATTAGGTAGAATGAGGGCAGATCTTATAACTTTTCAGAAGAATCTGGACGTCTGGATTTTCACACAAAAACCTGATTAAGAAATACTGGCAACTAATTCATATTTTTCTTTAAACAAAACATTTTAAGCACTGAGTAGCTATAACAAATGAATCAAAATACTTGCAGCCATGTGCCAGGTATTATTCTAACAGCTTATGTGTAGCAATTCATCCAATTACCCTATGAGGTAGATATTATTATGATTTCCATTTTACAGATGAAGAAACTGAGGTACAGAGAGGCCAAGGACTGATGCCATATTTGGGATGCAGGCAGTCAGTTTTTTGTCTTTGAAGACAACTTCCTTTCTGGATTTCCTGCCACTGAGCTTTACTGAGGGCAGCACTATGGCTAAAAGCACAGGCTCAGCAGCTCATGTGGTGCTCCTCTGTGGTTTGCCCTGCATACTTTCCTTTGGAAAACTGTTATTCCCCAATACCTGTGTTTCAGGTGAGGCTCTTAACCAGAGAGCTCTGCCTGTCCCTGCTCTGCAGTGCACGAATGACCCAAGCTGGGGAGAATGAGTCATTTTCAGGGACCAATATGGAAGATGAGGGAGAGAGGGCCTCATGAGCTATGTGAATGGAGCAAGCCTGGGACTGCTTGGGATCATCGTCTTTGTTGCCACATGGAGAGTACCTGCCTGAAAATGGAGCAAACTCAATGGAAAGCAAAATAGAAAGAAAAGATCCCAGTGACATAATTTGAGCTCCTGGATGCAGCCATGCCTAAAGCCAGCCACCCTTAGACTTCTCATTTATTTGTACCAATATATTTTTCTCTCTTTATTATTATTATTTTTTAAAACAGCGTCTCACTCTATCACCCAGGCTGGAGTGCAGTGGTGTGACCACTGCAACCTCCAGGTCCTGGGTTCAAATGATTCTCATGCCTCAACCTCCCCAGTAGCTGGGACTACAGGCATATGCCACCATGCCTAGCTAATTTTTTGGTATTTTTAGGAGAGATGGGGTTCACCATGTTGGCCAGGGTGGTCTCAAACTCCTGACCTCAAGTGATCTGCCTGCTTCGGCCTCCCAAAGTGTTGGGATTACAGGTGTGAGCCACCACCCCCAGCCGTGTATTCCTCCTTTTGACGATTCCAATTTGACTTGAATTTCTACTGATTGCAGTGGACAGAGTCCTGGCAAATACGGTGTCAAAGAAATGTCGCATCACTTCAGGATGTTAGATCCTTTCTACTCAAAGTGGTTCAAGGACCAGTAGCATCAGCATCCCCTGGGAGCTTGTTGAAAATGCAGAATCTCAGGCCCGTCCCAGACCTACTGAACCAGAATCTGCATTTTTAACAAGATCGCAACTACGCTTATACACATTCAAGCTTGAGAAACGTTGGTCTAGACTAGCGTTCTCAGCTCTAGCTGCACATTTAGGTCTCAATACCCAAATCACACCCCAGACCAACTGACTCAGAATCTCTGGGGGTGGGCCCTAGGAGCCAAACTTTTAAAAGCTCCCCAGGTGATAATGATATACAGCCAAGGTTGAGAACCACTGCTCTGATGTGATATGCTTGGTGGCAGCTGAAAGCCTAATTCTTTGCGATTTATCCTAGAGCCAAAGCTTGCTTCTGAGGAGGATACAGCAGAAGGTCTCTCTCTTTCTATCTCTGTCTCTGTCTCTCTCTCTCTCATCCCTTGGGAATGAAGAGGGAGATGCTGTATCCCACAGACAGAACCCACCGGGACCCCAAGGGGGATTTTTAAAAAATACCAAATCCTAGAATACTTTCATTTTCTACCGTTACAAAACATCTTTCTTCCATCTGAGGTCACAACACTGGACTACATGAAAATCTTTTAAACTTTCAAAATTTCAAGTCGCTTCTCCACAGGGCCTTGAACATAAGTACAATCTGAATCTCAAACTAAACTCAAATATATATTTTTTTATTAAACCATGAACTATCCCCAAAATATGTTTTGAGTTTTCATTTTCCTTCTAAAAATCTTCATTGTGGTGGATCAATTCACTCTGGAGCAAATCCAGATGCTTTCTAAAGCCAGTCAACTGGAAGAAAGTGGGAATATCAAAATATTCTCTGAATTGACACTGAGCAACATTGTTTGCATTTTGGGATTTTGCTCTGTCTGGCCACTGTGGGAATTTGGCTGTGGTCTCATGTTTCCAGTGGTTCATCAGATGCTGTATTCTCCCATCTTTCCCTTTCTTTTTGAGTGAGGACCTCACCAGGACCTGTGGGTCACCAATTATAGATAGGTCCAGGTGGCATCATTAGGATGTTGGCAGGTGTCCATGGACGGTGTGCATGAAAAAATGAGTAAGATGGAGTCTTTCTTCTCATGCGCAGGAGAAGGGGGACTGGGCTGAGGGTTGCTGGGGCTGTTTTGTGTTTGTTTTTGTGGTTTTAACTGCTGGCAAAGAACCCTTTCCTGCCTGGACCTCTGCTTGAGAACAGGAAGAGGTGTGGGCGGGGTTGAGGAGAGAGCTGGAAGTCAGCCTTTCCCTGCTCATCATAGTCAGCAGCTCATTAGGGATTCTAATCAGGCAGAAATATTTTCCCGTCAGCTTATTACAAACTCTAACAAGGTCCCAGCTCCAGGTCATGGCTGCTTTTCTCCTGCTGGGGATAACGATGAGCAGCTTGTCGGAACCTTTGGTATCTCATTTGTTACAACATGTGATTCACAGAGGCAGGAGGGCTCTGGGGTGGAGGAAGTGGAGACAGCCAGGGAAGAGATGGAGGGAGAGTCCCTTTTGTGGAGGACCTGAAGACACAAATGCCCATTGCTTTAGGGAAGCCAAACCCAGACCTTATTGGACACTTGAAATCTTCTGAGAATCTGGGCCCAGCTATGTGTGAGGTACAGACTGGCTCCTTCCTTGTGTATGGAAGCAGATGGCCACTAGCTGGCCAGGAGATAAAGGGCAAGGTTTTATGTGTTTTATTTTATTACTTTATTTTATATTTTTTTGAGAAGGAGTCTCATTCTGTCACACAGCCTGGAGTGCAGTGGTGCAATCATGGCTCATTGCAGCCTCAACCTCCTGTGCTCAAGAGATCCACTTCAGCCTCTCGACTAGCTGGGACTATAGGCGTGCACCACCACACCCAGCTAATTTTTATATTTTTTTTGTAGAGATGAGGTCTCACTATGTTGCCAAGGCTGGCTTCAAACTCCTAGGCTCCAGTGATCTGCCCAACTGAGCCTCCCAAAGTGCTGGCATTACAGGCATGAGCCACCACGCCCGGGCAAACGGGCAAATTTTTAACTTTGAATTTCACCTGGCTGGGCGTGGTGGCTCACGCTTGTAATCCCAGCACTTTGGGAGGCCAAGTTGGGTGGATCACGAGGTCAGGAGTTCAAGACTAGCCTGGCCAAGATGGTGAAACTAGAAATACTGTCTCTACTAAAAAGACAAAAATTAGCCAGGCGTGGTTGCGGGTGCCTGTAATCCCAGCTACTGGGGAGGCTGAGGCAGAGAACTGCTTGAACCCGGGAAGCAGAGGTTGCAGTGAGCCAAGATCGTGCCACTGCACCCCAGCCTGGGGGACAGAGTGAGACTCCGTCTCAAAAAAAAAAAAAAATTCACCTTTTGTATCTCCTGGATTGTGAGGAAAGGCCTCAGCACCCTTGTTTTGCATGCTTCATGGCCCCAGAGGCCAATTCTTGAATTTAGTGATTTGAAAAATATTTGCATGCCATCATTTTCTAGTTGAAAAACTCTCAGTGTCTGCCTAATTCGCATTGTCTTAGCCTAAACTTCTTATTTATCTATCAAAGCTTTCCATAAAACCACCCTACTCAAACTAGTTCTACTTCAAGCATTTTCCCCTTCCAAAATTCTCCATTTGAAACTCTTAAGGGCCTGGTCTCTTTAATATCTCACACAAATTGTTAATTGCACCTTTTTTATGATTGTTCTTGCTGCATATTCCAGTTCTGTTTTTTCATCAAAGCTTAACCAAAGCACTGTATCGTTTATAAATCTGTTCATGATTATGCTAGCTTTCACTGGGTGCTACATCATGGCTTAAAACAGGGATCAGTAACTATAGCCTGTGGGCCAAATCTGACTCAGTGCTTATTTTTATAAATAAAGTTTTATTGGAACACAGCCATGCTCACATATTTACATATTGTCTTTGGCTGCCTTTGCATTACAACAGAAGAGTTGAATAGTTGCAGCAGAGATCATATAAACTGCAAAGCCTAAAATATTTACTATCTGCCCTGGCTTAAACCATAAAATTCAGCACTTAAATTTGTTTTATGCTTCATTGAATTCTTTCAAAAAGCCTTCTCAGATTCTTCTTCTTCTTCTTTTTTTTTTTTTTTAAATTGGGACAGGGTCCCACTCTGTTGCCCAGGCTGGTCTCAAACTCTTGGGATCAAGGGACTCTCCTGCCTTGGCCTCCCAAAATGTTGGGATTACAGGTGTGAGCCACCATGCCTGGCCTTTCAGATTCTTCTTTATTCCTCCTCCTCTCACTAGCCACTCTTTACCTTTTCCATCTTTTCCTGCTCTGAATTTCTGTCACAATTTATCTGTATTTTTTTTGTGCTTTTCTCCTTCTAAAATTGTAAATAGTCATTTATTTATGTATCTGTTTTGCATAATGCTCTAGCCTATAAATGCTTTGAGGGCAGAATGTCTTTAGGATTATCTCTGTACCCTGTCAGCAATTAGTGCCCGAATTCAGTAAACCAGGATAGAACCTTGTTGGTTGTAGAGTCTAACATGGCTCCTGATTGGTCCCCCTGAAATTGCCACAAAGGGTATCACCAACTTCTGGAAGTTCTATGCAGGGGTATGGCATCATGAAGAGCTGTGTTTCTTCTGGACTAAAGCTATCTAATCCTGCCTTTGAACTGATAGCCAAATCCTGCTTCCTTAGTAGTAAGATCACCATCTTATGGAGGGAGAGAAACCTTGCAACTTTGTGGATGAATTATGGGGTCTTATTGACCCTGGTTCATTTCCATCCCTCCTGTCTTTTCCAACATGAGCCCATTTTATAGAATTCCAGGTGTAGGCCCATCAATTCCATGGAGATGTCCAAGAAAGGAACAGCTTTCCTTTCTCTCAATTCTTGTTATACAAAGATTCAATAATATTGTGGTCGTCAGGATAATGGACCCCCCAAAAAATATCCATGTCCTAATCCCTGGAACCTGTGAATATGTTACTTTACATAGAAAATTAGATTTTGCAGATGTGATTAAGGTTAAGGACTTTGAGATGGTGAGATTATCTGGGATTATCCAATTGGGTCCAATTTAATCACCTAAGTCCTTAAAAGTGGAACAGCCGAGGCAGAACAATAGGTCAGATAGATGTGATGTGAGAAGAACTTGATCCACTGTTGCAGGCTTTGGCAATGAAGGAAACAGGTCATGAGCCAAGGAAGAAGGGCAGCCTCTGGAAGCTGGAAAGACAGGGAAACAGATTTTCCCCTGGAGCCTCCAGAAAGGAATGCAGCCCTGGTGACACCTGGATTTCAGCCCAATGAGACCCAGGTTAGACTTCTGATCCGTAGAACACTTAGATAATAAATTCGTGTTGTTTAAGCCACCAAGTTTGTGGTAGTTTGTTATGACAGTGACAGAAAACTAAGACAGATACACTTATGTTTTTGGCTTGAAATGGCTGGCCCCTGCCACTTAATCCAAACGGTTCAGTGACTCAGAGGCAGAGTGGGGAGGTGGAGGCCAGATGGACATTTGCCCATCCATTACAGAAAAAAAAAAAAAAAAAAGGTGGTGTTGTCCAGAGTCCTGGAACTAAAGCTGGCTGGTTGTCTTGGAAATCATGACCTTTATCCCTAAGAAGAAATTAAACTGAGCGAATGTGAATGACGACAGCAGCCTTTTTGCTGGCAGTCTATTTGGGGAAGGGACGGACTGGTCTTGTGGGTTGCTTTTCTCACATGTGTATACAAGCTTCAGGCTTTTAGTGCCAGCTGGTAGAATTTTGGTCCTCAAAGAATCAGAAACCCTAAAGTCCAGGGGAATGGCTCTGGTTACGAAAACAATCTGATGAACTCTGTATTAGTTATCTATTGCCACAAGAACGCTCAATAGAAAACTATCCCCCAAACCTCACTGACTTAAAACAATAATTATTTATCATGGCTCACAGGTTTATGGACTGGCTAGCCCTTTCTGCAGATCTGGGCTGGGCTCAGCTGGTCTCAGCTGGGCTTGCTCATGCATCTGTGGTCAGTTGGCAGGTTGGCCAGAGGCTGATTGGTCTAGGATGACCTCAGCTGGGGTGATTCAGATCTTTTCCACATGCTAGCTCATACTCCAGAAGTCTAGTTGCTTTTGTTCTTATGATGGAGGCAAGGGGAGCTAGTGAGCGAGTGTGTGTATGAGAGAGAGAGAGAGGTGGGCAAAGGTCTCAAGGCCTTGGCTTGGAACTGACATGCTGTCACTTCTGCTGCATTCTATTGGTCAAAGTAAATGACAAGGCAGCCTAGATTCAAAGAACAGGGTAATAGGCTGAACCCCTTGATGAGAGGAACTATCAAGTCACATTGCAAATGCTGTGGGAGGGATGAAAGATTAGGGCCATTTTTGTAGTCAATCTGCCACAAACTCTCTGGGAAAGGAGAAGCCCTTAGCCCCAAATAGCTCCTGAAGGCTGAAGTGAACGAGGCCACTGCCCACATCTGGCTCCTCTCTGCAGGCTGTGAAAACATCCCACGGCAGTCCTAAGGGAGCCATCCGAGCCTCCAAATCCTGTCCCCTCTTCACTGCCTGCCCCCACTGCCAAAGAAAGCTACAGTGTTCTCTGTGAATTGCCAGCCGCAGTCCCCTCCCTTCTCTGCCTCTCTGTTCCAAGCCCGAGGGAGGTCGTGGGTGACCAGCTGGCTTGATGAATGCGGCTTCTGTAAACCTTCCCCGGCCTCTGTCGCTGCATCAGCGTGAAATGAACTTGCTAATACTCTAAGAGCCACAAACCTTTTCCTCCACCCCAGCACGACACATCGAATCGATCTGGCTGGGTGAGCCGCGACAAACCCCACAGAAAAAAGCATCAGCAAATTTAAAGCCTCATTCGAGGTCTTGATTCACCATAAACTAAGTTGCTGGCAGCAGGCATTGACACTTCCACTGTGGTTGATACTGCGATTTATTTGACTTGCCGTTAAGATGTTGATATTGACCAAGACTGAGTTCTAAATGAAAAGGCCCATGGCAATATATCTTTATTGCTCAAGTAATCCGAGGACTTGCTAATCCTTTCCTGTCCGCCAAGATGGTCTCACTCAATAATGTTGCAGAAATTCTCTAGGAACACAGAAACCATCACTTAGATACAACAAGATGTTCTTTCCCCACAAGGCCTCCTGAAAGAGGAATGGTGGTACAAGCAGTGTGTTTAGTAACAGGACCAAAGTGTTGGAAATCTGTTCTTGCCCCCACAGCCCAAACCATTATATTTTTTTTAACTTTTCAGAGACCTAACACCTTCCTTTTCAGAAACCCAGAAACAAATCACAAAGGACTTTGTATGGGACTTGCTCATGAAGAGTATCCGCTTCCCTTTCTTCACCTGGCCCATGTTAGGGCTTCAGCCTTGCCTACCTCTAACCCAGGCAAATGAATCCTGGTCCCAAGGGGCACTATGATGTCACCCTTAGTGCTGGCCCCAACAGTGAAATTAATGTGACAGTTGGTTCTTGCTAATTTCAAGGCCCAGTAGGAACACAGAGAAAGAATGGAAAATTTATTACCTGCTAATTTATTTTCTCATTGAAATGTCATCTGCCGCCTTCACTTTAGGGGAAAATATGTTAGCAGTAGAGTCATATAGGGCGCCTTTTGTATTATTTTGGGTGTCAGGGTCCCTGCAGAAATCAGCAGGGAGAAGAACCCACACAACAGGGTCAAGGAAGCAGCCCAGGGTGGCTGGGTTAGGGAGCGAGCCAGAGGGGCAGAATTTTCCAGCCCAGCTTCTTTACCCAGCTCTGCAGTGGGAAGAGGCCCAGACAGGTGGAACCACAGGAAGACAGAGCTTTCACAGATGTACTATCTGTGTCAGGAGAAGCAGGTGCAGGCCACCCCAGACACTGATCCACAGTGTGGCTGTTGTTCTTGTCTCTCTAGAACAACTGATGACAGTCTCCGCTAGCCCTCCTGGCTTGCTGTTCTGGGGATGAAGGGATTGATCACAGCCTCAACCTCATCCCAAAGAAGCACTGTCACATAGAGATTCAGAGTGCAGGCATGGCAGTCACACAGTTTTGGGTTTGAATCCTGGCTTCAGTGCTTACCAGCTGGGTGACCTTGTCACTTGTCCTTTCTAAGCCACAGTTTTCCCATCTGTCAAAAGGAGGAAATAATAACGACACCATGGCAGACACTGTTTATTGGCTCCTGTGTTCCTTGGCAACAGATGATCAGTTTTGCTCAGATATCACTTCCCACAGTTTCTGGGGGACGTGGGCTCCATTCCTGGTCCAGGAGTGATCCTGTGATAATTTCTGGCCAATGAGATGAAAAAGGAAATTTTCCGAGGTGGTTCTGGGAAAGATTCCCCTCCTGGTAAGAGAAGAAGGACAAGGAGTATCTTTTTGCTTTGTCTGACCCCAGTCTCCTTCTTGATGTGAAGTCAGAGGGTGAGAAGAGTCTCTCTGCTTAGGTTGCCCCCTGCTGCCTACCGGGAAACTTTGCTGAGTTTATCACCAAGAGACCAAGAGAATGTTGGGACACCTGTCCATACTCCTGCCTTTGTAGGGCAGCTGAAACAAAGCCATTGACTGCCTATGTTTTATGTGAGAAGAATGGACCTCTGTTTAATTAATTAATCTTTTGAGACTGGGTCTCATTCTGTTGCCCAGGCTGGAATGCAATGGCACGATCTTGGCTCACTGCAACCTCCACCTCCTGGACTCAAACCCACATCAGCCTCCCAAGTAGCTGGGACTACAGGCATGTGCCACCACCTTTGGTTAATTTTTTTGTATTTTTGGTAGATATGGGGTTTTGCCAAGTTGCCCAGGCTAGTCTTGAACTCCTGAGCTCAAGCGATTTGCCTGCCTCGGCCTCCCGAAGAGCTGGGATTACAGGTGTGAGCCACCATGCCAGCCACACCTATTTATTAAAGCCAGTGTGAACTGGTAAGTTTGTTCCTCATAGCCCAAATTATTCCTAAATGATACAGG
Organism: Homo sapiens; assembly: GCF_000001405.40. NCBI lineage: Eukaryota > Metazoa > Chordata > Mammalia > Primates > Hominidae > Homo > Homo sapiens. The sequence continues at coordinate 77,992,079 of NC_000014.9, forward strand.
TACCTATGTTGTGGCTGTGATTAGAGCATTAAATGAGATTGTCAGAGGCCCTTCTGGACAAAGACCTGAAAGTTTCTCTAGTTTCTCTCTGCAAAGACTTTTTTTTTTTTTTTAATTTCTTTATTTTTTTTGAGACAGAGTCTCACTCTGTCGTCCAGGCTGGAGTGCAATGGTGTGATCTCAGTTCACTGCAACCTCCACCTCCTGGGTTCAAGTGATTCTCCTGCCTCAGCTTCCCGAGTAGCTGGGACTACAGGCATGTCCCACCACGCCTGGCTCATTTTTGTGTTTTTATTAGAGGTGGGGTTTCACTGTGTTGGCTAGGCTAGTCTCGAACTCCTGACCTCAAGTGATCCACCCACCTCGGCCTCCCAAAGTGTGGGGATTACAGGCGTGAGCCACCATGTCTGGCCTCTCTGCAGTCTTGACATAGATTTGTGAGATCTGCTCCCTGGGAATAATGATGAAAGAGAGAGACTGGGGAAAAGGAACCGAGGAGCTGGGTCACTCCACTTTTCTCTTTCTGTTTTGGGGAGAAGGCAATTCAGGCCTTAGCTGGATGATTTTCCATCTACCACACATGTGCTTTCCGCTGGGTCAAGTATCTATTGAATACATCCTGTAGATAATAACTGGATTTTAAAATCTGTAGACCTGAAATTTTGATAAATTTTATTTTGTTTTCTTATTGCTTTATCTTCTAATTTTAGAACTGTGGATGGCATCATTTTAGCTTGAGTTCATTAAGCAGAAGCTCCCATTGTTTTAGTTTTTGATTTCTTTTTTTTCAATTTACATTATAAAATATTTTATTTTTAAGCAATATATTATCATGGTTTATTATTCATAAGGCACAAAAGAATATACAGCAAAAAGTCTTCCTGCCGCCATAACTTTCCAGCCATTGAGTTCTTGGAGGCAACCAGTTTCTACCAATTCTTTTTTTTTTTTTTTTTTTTTTTTTATTGATAATTCTTGGGTGTTTCTCGCAGAGGGGGGGATTTGGCAGGGTCATAGGACAATAGCGTGGGAAGGTCAGCAGATAAACAAGTGAACAAAGGTCTCTGGTTTTCCTAGGCAGAGGACCCTGCGGCCTTCCGCAGTGTTTGTGTCCCTGGGTACTTGAGATTAGGGAGTGGTGATGACTCTTAACCAGCATGCTGCCTTCAAGCATCTGTTTAACAAAGCACATCTTGCACCGCCCTTAATCCATTTAACCCTGAGTGGACACAGCACAGGTTTCAGAGAGCACAGGGTTGGGGGTAAGGTCACAGATCAACAGGATCCCAAGGCAAAAGAATTTTTCTTAGTACAGAACAAAATGAAAAGTCTCCCATGTCTACTTCTTTCTACACAGACAGGGCAACCATCCGATTTCTCAATCTTTTCCCCACCTTTCCCACCTTTCTATTCCACAAAACCGCCATTGTCATCATGGCCCGTTCTCAATGAGCTGTTGGGTACACCTCCCAGACGGGGTGGTGGCCGGGCAGAGGGGCTCCTCACTTCCCAGTAGGGGCGGCAGGGCAGAGGCGCCCCTCACCTCCCGGACGGGGCGGCTGGCTGGGTGGGGGGCTGACCCCCCCCACCTCCCTCCCGGACGGGGCGGCTGGCCTGGTGGGGGCTGACCCCCACCTCCCTCCCGGACGGGGTGGCTGCCGGGTGGAGACGCTCCTCACTTCTCAGACGGGGCGGCTGCCGGGCGGAGGGGCTCCTCACTTCTCAGACGGGGTGGTTGCCAGGCAGAGGGTCTCCTCACTTCTCAGACGGGGCGGCTGGGCAGAGACGCTCCTCACCTCCCAGACGGGGTCGCGGCCGGGCAGAGGCGCTCCCCACATCCCAGATGATGGGCAGCCGGGCAGAGACGCTCCTCACTTCCTAGATGGGATGGCGGCCGGGAAGAGGTGCTCCTCACTTCCTAGATGGGATGGCGAGCGGGCAGAGACGCTCCTCACTTTCCAGACTGGGCAGCCACGCAGAGGGGCTCCACACATCCCAGACGATGGGCGGCCAGGCAGAGACGCTCCTCACTTCCCAGACGGGGTGGCGGCCGGGCAGAGGCTGCAATCTCAGCACTTTGGGAGGCCAAGGCAGGCGGCTGGGAGGTGGAGGTTGTAGCGAGCCGAGATCACGCCACTGCACTCCAGCCTGGGCACCATTGAGCACTGAGTGAACGAGACTCTGTCTGCAATCCCAGCACCTCGGGAGGCCGAGGCTGGCGGATCACTCGCGGTTAGGAGCTGGAGACCAGCCCGGCCAACACAGCGAAACCCCGTCTCCACCAAAAAAAATACGAAAACCAGTCAGGCGTGGCGGCGCGCGCCTGCAATCGCAGGCACTCAGCAGGCTGAGGCAGGAGAATCAGGCAGGGAGGTTGCAGTGAGCTGAGATGGCAGCAGTACGGTCCAGCTTCGGCTCGGCATCAGAGGGAGACTGTGGGGAGAGGGAGAGGGACAGGGACAGGGACAGGGACAGGGACAGTTTTTGATTTCTTTACCATTAAGTCTGCCATTATGCTCTCAGGGGGACTAGCTAGTTCTCTATGCAAAGGGAACCTTTGGCTAAGTGACAAATCATTTTTTTTTAATGCCAAGAATCACCTTCCAATTAATTTATTTTCTAAAATTATTCCAATCATTGTCTGAACCCTGGAGCTTGCTGTGTGGTAACAGCCCATAACCTGATGGACCTTGCAGGCCTTTTGCAAGGATAATAAAGACAGGGGCTATGGCTGGGCATGGTGGCTCATGCCTGTACTCCCAGCACTTTGGAAGGCCGAGCTGGGCAGATCACCTGAGGTTAGGAGTTCAATACTAGCCTGGCTAACATGGCGAAAGCCCAGCTCTACTAAATATACAAAACTTAGCCAGGCATGGTGGTGTGCACCTGTAATCCCAGCTACTCAGGAGGCTGAGGCAGGAGAATCACTTGAGCCCAGGAGACAGGTTGCAGTGAGCCGAGAGTGTGCCACTGCACTCCAGGCTGGGAAACAGAGTGAGACTCCATTTCAAAAAAAAAAAAAAAAAAAAAAAAAAAAAAGACAGGGGCTACAAGGCCATGCATTCTTAGCTTTGAGTTGATAAAACTTGTTTGTCTCATAGGTTAAATTAATACATGGTAAAGTTGATCTTTTGTGTGTGCACCGTTCTATTTTTAACACATAAATGGGTTCGTGCAACGATCATCACAAAAAGAAGTGTGGTGAAGGCTGGGTGTGGTGGCTCAGGGCTGTAATCTTAGCACTTTGGGAGGCTGAGGTGGGTGGATCACTTGAGATCAGGAGTTCGAGACCAGCCTGGCCAACATGTTGAAACTCTGTCTCTACCAAAAGTATAAAAATTAACCAGGTGTGGTGGCACATGCCTGTAGTCCCAGCTATTTGGGAGGCTGAGTCAGGAGAACCGCTTGAACCCAGGAGGTGGAGGTTGCAGTGAGCCAAGATCACGCCACTGCACTCCAACCTGGGTGACAGAGTGAGACTCCGTCTCCAAAAAAAAGGACTTTGCAGAGAAACTAGAAAAACTTTCGAGCCTTTGTCCAGAAGGCCCTCTGACTATCTCATTTAATGCTCTAATCACAGCTACAACATAGGTACCTATTTCACTTACGAATAATTAGGGCAAGGAGGAACAAACTTACCAGTTCACGGTGGCTTTAATAAACAGGGGTGGCTGGGCATGGTGGCTCACACCTGTAATCCCAGCTCTTTGAGAGGCAGAGGCAGGTGGATCACTTGAGCTCAGGAGTTCGAGACCAGCCTGGGCAACATGGTGAAATTCTGTCTGTACCAAAAATATAAAAAGTAGCCGGGTATGGTGGCGCATGTCTGTGGTCCCAGCTACTCGGGAGGCTGAGGTGGGAGGATTGCTTGAGCCTGGGAGGCGGAGGTTGCAGTGAGCCGAGATTGTGCCACTGCACTCCAGCCTGGGTGACAAAGTGAAACCCCCATCTCAAAAGAAAAAAAAAAAGTGAGATGATGAATATGTTAATCACCTTGATTCAATCATGCCACAATGTATAAATATATCAAAATAGCACATTGTATCTCATAAATGTACACAACTATGATTTGTACATTAAAAATAATAATTCAAAATATAAAGACTAGTGCTCCTCATGCTAGTGCTTCCTTGTCGCATTCTTCCCTCACCTCTGCTCCCGGCACTCAGTGTCTGTTCTCCATCACAATAGTTTTGTGTTTTCAAGAATGTCATATAAATGGAATCATATTATATGTAACCTTTTGAGACTCTCTTCTTTCACTCAGCATAATGCCTTTAAGAGTCATTCAAATTGTGTGTATGAATAATTTGTTCATTTTTATTGCTGAGTGGTATTCCATTGCACGGCTGTACCACAGCTTGTTTATCCATTCAAGGACAGTTAAATGTTTTCCAGTTTTGGGCAATTATGAATAAAGCTTCTATACACATTTGTATTCAGGTTTTTATGTGAACATAAGTTTTCATTTCTCTGAGGCAAATAAATGGGATTTGCAAGATCATATGGTAAGTGTCGATTTAAATTTATAAGAAACTGCCAAACTGTTTTCCAGAGTGGCCACACCATTTTGCATTTCCAATTGCAAGGTGTGAAAGTTCCGGTTACTCCAAATTTCCATCAGCCCTTGGGATTTTTGATACACACACTACTTGCTGAAAAGACTGTCCTTTCTCCATTGCATAGCTTTTGCACTTTTGTTAAAAATCAGTACTTTTAGATTTTATCTTAGTCATTCTAATAGGTATGTAGTGGTATATTACCAAGACTTTAATTCGTATTTCCCTAAGGGTGAATGATGCTGAACATGTTTTGTGTGTGCGCTTATTCACATTCATATATCCTCTTTGGTGAAATGTTTGTCCTAGTCTTTTTTCCATTTAAAAATTGTGTTGTTTTCTTATTGTTGAGTTTGATAATTCTTTATATATTCTGGATATAAGTCATTTGTTAAATATGTAATTCCAAAATATTTTCTCCCAGTCTATAGCTTGTCTTTTCATTCTCCTAACAGTGTCTTTTGCAGACCAAAAGTTTTTAATTTTGAAGTCTAATTTTCAGTTTTTAAAATATAGATTATGCTTTTGGTGTCATATCTAAGAATGTTTTGCTTAACTCCAGATCTAAAAGATTTTGCCTATGTCTTCTACAAATTTTGTAGTTTTACATTTTATATCTGTGACCAAGTTTTTATATATAATATACAATATTTGCTAGTTTTTATGTAATATGAAGTTTAATTTGAAGTTCATTTTTTTTTAACATATAGATGTCCAGTTGCTCCCATGCAAGTTGCTAAAAAGAGTGTCATTTTCTCTATTGGATAGCTTTTGCACCTTTGTTAAAAATCAGTTGGCCATATTTGTGTGGATCTTTTTCTGGACTGTATTCTTTTTCATTGATATGTATGTGTGTATTTCTTTGTAACAGCATGTCTTGACTACTGTAGCTTTATTGCAAGTGTTAAAATTGGGTAGTATGATTTCTACAATCTTATTCTTCATTTTCAAAATTGTTTGGGCTATTCTAGTTCCTTTCCATACAAATTTTAGAATTATCTTGCCTAAATCTATAAAAAAACAATTCTAATAGAAATTTGGTTGAGATTGTATTAAAGATCAATTTGGGAAAAATGGACATCTTTATGTATTGAGTCTTCCAACCTGTGTACATGGTATGTCTGTCTCTCCATTTACTTAGGCAAAATTTGAATTGTTTCATCAGCATTTTGTAGTTTTCATCATGTGGATCCTATGCATATTTTGTCAAATTTATGCTTAGATATTTCATTTTGGGGTTTCAATAGTATATGGTATATATTTTTTAAATGTTGAATTCCAATTTTATATTGCCAGTATCTCAAAATATGATTGGTGATTGATTTTTGTGTGTTGACCTGCTGGCCTATGACCTTACTAAGCTCACTTATTGTTTCTAGAATTTTCTTTGTTTGCTTGTTTTTTGTTGATTCCTTAGGGTTTTCTACCTAGGAAATTATGTTGTTTGTGAATGAATAAAGACAGTTGTGTTTCTTTTAAATCTGCATGTCTTTTATTTCTTTTCCTTGCTTTGTTATGTTAACTAGGATTTCTAGTATGATGTTGAATCAGACTGGTGAGAGTGTCTTCTTCCCAATCTTAGGCAAAAATAATTCAGTCTCTAACCATTGATTATGCTATCAGCTGTATGTTTTTTGTAGATGCTCTTTAGTAGACTTAAGAATTTCCCTATACCTAGATTGCCGGGGTTTTAAAAAAAGACGTGATCATTTGTTGAGTTTCATCAAAGGCTTTTCTATATCAACTGATGCCAATGTGTGGTTTTTCTTTCTTAGACTGCTGATGTGATGGATCGCATCCATTGATTTTTAAATATCAAACCATCCTTGCATTTCCAGAATATGCTTCCCTTGTTTATGGTGTATTATTCTTTCTACATTTGCCTGGATTTAATTTGCAATATTCTTTGAATATTTTGCATCTATGCTCATGAGGGCTATTGGTCTTTAGCTTTCTTTTGTCTTTCTTCCTTCTTTTCTTTTCCTGCTCCTTCTTTTTTGGTATTGTCTTTGGTTTTTTGGTATCAGGGTAATATGAGCTCCAAAAACTGAGACAAAATGCACCCCCTTCTATTGTCTGGAAGAGATCCTCTAGAGTTAGTGTTATTTCTTTTTTAAATGTTTGGTGGAATTTGCCAATGAAAACATCGAGCTTTGTGGATTATATTTTTGGGTAGATTTTAGCTAGAAATTCAATTTCTTTAATAGTTACAAGACTATTTGGGTTATCTATTTTATGTAAGATGAGTTAGGGTAGTTGGTGGTTTTTGAAGCATTGTGGTCCATTTCATCTAAGTTGTCAAATTTATGCATGTAGAATTGTTTGTATTATTCCCTTCCTATCCTTTTAGTGTCTGTAGGGTCTATAATGATAGCACTTTCTTCAGTGCTGTTATTGATAATTTGTATCTCTTCTCTCTCTTTTTTCCTTTGTCAGGTTTTCTAGAGGCTTTTCAATTTGATCAATCTTTTCATATAATCAGATTTTGGTTTTATTAATTTCCTTTATCTTTCTGTTTTCAATTTCCTTGATAATATGTTTTCTTTATTATTCCCTTTTGTTTGCTTGCTTTCAATTTATTCTTTTCTTCTTTTTCTGGTTTCTTACTGTGGAGACAGATTATTGACTTGGAGCCTTGGTTATTTTCTAATATAATCACTGGATACTATAAATTTCTGTTGATGTACTGCTTTAATAAATCTCAAAAATTTTGATATATTGTATTTTCATTTTTGTTTACTCTCAAATAATTCCTAATTTTTCATGGGATTTCATCTTTGACTTATAGATTATTTGAAGTGTATTTTAAAATTTCCAACAGGAGATTTTCCTGTTATCTCTTACTGATCTTGTTTCATTCTATTGTGGTCAGAGAACATCCTTTGTATGATTTCAGTTATTTTTAACTTGCTAAGGTCTATTCTATGACTTGCAGTGTCATCTGTCTTTGTTAATGTTCCAAGAATCTGTATTTTGCTATTCTTCTGGGAGAGTATTCTATTGAGAAGAGTGTATATTCTTCTATTGTTGAATGGAGTGTTCTATAAATGTCAGATCCAGTCGTTGATGGTAATATTCTTTTCTTCTATATTTTTGCTGAATTTCTATCTACAAGTTCTATTTATCATTAAGAGAAGAATATTCAAGTCTCCAATTATAATTATAGAATTTCCTACCTCTCCTTTCAGTTATTATTTGTTTTTGCTTCAAGTATTTTGAAGCTCTCTTGTTAGAAACACTTCTAGAATTGTCATTTCTTTTCTTTTTTTTTTTTTTTTTGAGATGGAATCTCACTCTGTCACCCAGGCTGGAGTGCAGTGGCGCGATCTCGGCTCACTGCAACCTCTGCCTCTGGGGTTCAAGCAATTCTTATGCCTCAGCCTCCTAGGTAGCTGGGACTACAGGCACGCACCACCATGCCCAGCTAATTTTTGTATTTTTAGTAGAGACAGGGTTTCACTATATTGGCCAGGCTGGTCTCAAACTCCTGACCTTGTGATCCACCTGCCTCAGCCTCCCAAAGTGCTGGTACTACAGGCATGAGCCACCATGCCCAGCCTGTCATTTCTTTTTGATAAACTGAGTCTTTAATTTTTTCATTTCTGCAATTTTTTTGTCTCATTTTAATATGGCTGCCACTGTTTCTTTTTTTTGTTTGTTTAATGTTTGCATCATATATCTTCCCCCCACCTTAATTTTTACCTACCTATATCATTATATTTGAAGTAGATTTCTCTACACAGCATACAGTTGGCTCACGGGTTTCAAAAAATCCATTCTAGGCTGTGGGTGATAGCTCATGCCTGTAATCCCAGCACTTTGAGAGGCTAAGGTGGGCAGACTGCTTGAGCTCAGAAGTTCTAGACCAGCTTGGGCAACACGGTGAAACCTCATCTCTACAAAAAATACGAAAATTAGCTGGGCACGGTGGTGTGCACCTGTAGTCTCAGCTACTTGGGAGGCTGAGGTGGGAAGATGGCTTGAGCCCAGGAGATGGAGATTTCAGTGAGCTGAGATGGTGCTACTGCACTCCAGCCTGGGCAACAGAGCCAGATGCTGTCTCAAAAAAAAAAAAAGTTCTGAAAATTTAACTGGTATGTTTAGACCATTTTTATTTAATGTAATTAATGATAAATTACAATTTAGGTCTGCCATTTTATTACTCATTTTCTTTTTGTTTCCTCTGGTTTTTGTTCCTTTGTGATATGGTTTGGCTGTGTCCCCACTCAAATCTCATCTTGAATTCCCATGTGTTGTGGGAGGGACTGTTGCAGGAAGTCAGGGACCCCAAACAGAGGGACCAGTTGGAGCCGCGGCAGAGGAACATAAATTGTGATTTCATTTTAATATGGACATTTATCAGTTCCCAAATTAATACTTTTATACTTTCTTATGCCTGTCTTACTTGAATCTCTTAATCCTGTTATCTCTGTAAGCTGAGGATGTACATCACCTCAGGACCACTGTGATAATTGTATTAACTGTACAAATTGATTGTAAAACATATGTGTTTGAACAATATGAAATCAGTTCACCTTGAAAAAGAACAGAATAACAGCAATTTTTAGGGAACAAGGGAAGACAACCATAAGGTCTGACTGCCTAGGGGGTCAGGCAAAAAGAGCCATATTTTTCTTCTTGCAGAGAGCCTGTGAATGGATGTGCAAGTAGGGAAGATATCGCTAAATTCTTTTCCTAGCAAGGAATATTGATATTAATACTCTGGGAAAGGAATTCATTCCTGGGGGGAGGTCTACAAACAGCCGCTCTGGTAGTGTCTGTCTTATGTAGTTGAGATAAGGACTGAAATAAGCCCTGGTCTCCTGCAGTACCCTCAGGCTTACTAGGATTCAGAAAACTCCATCCTGGTAAATTTTTGGTCAGACCGGTTCTCTCTTCTTGAACCCTGTTTTCTGTTAAGATGTTTATCAAGACAATATGTGCACCCCTGAACATACACCCTTATCAAGAGTCCTGATTTTGCCCTTGTCCTGTTTCCTCAGAAGCATGTGATCTTTGTTCTACTTTTTGCCCTTTGAAGCATGTGATCTTTGTACCTACTCCCTGTTTGTACACCCCCTCCCCTTTTAGAATTCTTAATAAAAACTTGCTGGTTTTGAGGCTCGGGCAGTCATCACAGTCCTACTGATATGTGATGTCACCCCCGGCGGCCCAGTTGTAAAATTCCTCTCTTTGTATTCTTTCTCTTTATTTCTCAGCCAGCCAACACTTATGGAAAATAGAAAGAACCTATGTTGAAATACTGGGGGCAGGTTCCCCTGATAAGGGACCTGGTGGGAGGTAATTGAATCATGGGGGCAAGTCTTCCTTGTGCTGTTGTCGTAATAGTGAATAAGTCTCGTGAGATCTGAGGGTTTTGAAAGGAGGAATTCCCAGCCGGCCGCAGTGGCTCATGCCTATAATCCCAACACTTTGGGAGGCTGAGGCAGGCAGATCACGAGGTCAGGAGATTAAGACCATCCTGGCTAACATGGTGAAACCCCTTCTCTACTAAAAAAATACAAAAAATTAGCTGGGCATGGTGGCAGGTGCCTGTAGTCCCAGCTACTGGGGAGGCTGAGGCAGGAGAATGGCATGAACCTGGGAGGTGGAGCTTGCAGTGAGCCGAGATCATGCCACTGCACTCCAGCCTGGGCGACAGAGCAAGACTCTGTCTCAAAAAAAAAAAAAAAAAAAAAAAAGAAGAATTCCCTTGCACGAGCTCTCTCTCTTTGCCTGCTGCCATCCATGTAAGATGTGACCTGCTTTTCCTTACCTTTCATCATGATTGTGAGTCTTCCCCAGCCATGTGGAACTGTAAGTCCAATTAAACCTCTTTCTTTTGTAAATTGCCCAGTCTCAGGTATGTCTTTATCAGGAGTATGAAAAAGAACTCATACACTTTGGTTCCCTTTTCTACCCCTGCTTTTTTTTAAGGGTTTAAAAATTGTTTTTAGTATTTCATTTTAATCTCTTTCTTTTGAGTCTATGTCTTTATATAATTTTAAATGATTGTTTTGAAGATTACAATGTACATACTTAACTTCACAAACTGCTTGGAGTTTATATTTTACCATTTCAGGTGGAATGGAGATATCTTTCTGCATTAGTCACTTTATTCTCCCCATTTGATCTTCAAGTTGTCTTAGTAGTACATGTACATACATTGAAAGCCTCACTAGAGGATGTTATAATTTTGCTTTTCATCATCAAAGACATTTTATGTATTTTAACGAACTTAAGAAATGAAGAATAGTTTATTATACTCTACCAGATTTTTACCTATTCTGTTGCTCTTTTAAAATTCCTGATGTTCTAAAATGTCATCAGTATTATTTCTCTTTTTTTTTCCAAAAAACTTATTTTAGCAATTCTTTTAGAGTAGGTCTGCTGGCAATAAATTCTCTTAGTTTTTCTTTATCTGAGCAGGTCTTTATTTCACGTTAATTCCTGAAGGATATTTTTGTTGGATATGAAAACTCGAGTGGACATTTATTTACTGTTAGAACTTTAAAAATAGTGTGCCACTTCTTTCTGGCCTCCATGGTTTCTAATGACAAATCCACAGTCATTTAAATTATTGCTGTCCTTTAGATAAGGTGTTTTTCTCTGGTAACTTTTAAGACTTTTACTTTGCATTTAGTTTTCAGCAATTTGATTATGATGTGTCTGGTCATGGTTTTTGGGGGTTTATCCTGTTTTCAGTTTACTGAGTTTCTTGAGTTTGTAGGTTTTTTCTTTTTCCAGATTTGACAACTTTTCAACCATTATTTCTTCAAATGTTTTTCAGCAGCATGTTATTTCTTTTCTCTGTTTTATACTATAATAATACAAATATAAGACATTCTGGTAGTGTCCTCCAGGCTCCTGAGGCTCTGCTCATTGAAAAAAATAGTTTATATCTATTGTTCAGTTTGGATTTTTTTATTCATCTACATTCCGGTTTGTTGACTCTTTCCTCTGTCACCCCTATTTTGCTATTGAGGCCATATTGTATTTTTAAGTTCTCAACTTTCCTCTTGATTTTTCTTAATGTCTTCTATTTCTTTGCCCAGACTTTCTACTTTTACATTAGTTTCCAGAGTATTAGTGATTATTTATTGGAGCATATTTATAATAGCTGCCTTAAAGTCTTTATCAGATATTTCCATCATTTCTGTCATCTAGGTGTTGACATCTATTGATTGTCTTTTCCCAAATGAGTTGAACATTTTCTGGCTCTTCACATGTCAAGTAATTTTTGATTGTATCCTGAATGTTTTGAATATTTCGTTATGAGACTCTGGGCCCTGTTTTTTTTTTTTTTTTTTTTTTTTTTTTTTTGAGATGAAGTTTCGCTCACTCTGTCGCCCAGGCTGGACTGCAGTAGTGTGATCTTGGCTCACTGCAACTTCTGCCTCTCTGGGCCCTTTTACAAGTCCTTGGAAAACATTGATATTTTTGTCTTAGTAGGCAATTAGTAGCTTGGTCAGGTTCAGGCTGCAAGTTCCAACTAACTTTTTGTGGGCTGTTGTTCCCATGTCAATTTAATTGTTAAATCCTTTGTGTGCTATTTGACTCTCATCCATGTGTATGCTACCCAGTGGCTAGTCTGGAACCTGAATGTTGGTCTAACTGTTAGCTCAGTGCTCACTGTCTTTGGTATGCTGATTGAGATCAGACCCATGCATCCACAGTTTAGGGGTGAGTCCAGGAGTTTATAATCAATTTTATGGGGCCACTTTCCTAACTTCTTTCCTTTCCACAACCTCCTTATTATTATCTGGATTCTTAAGACTCCCTTATCTATCCTCCAGGCAGAAATCTGGGGCTTTATCTATCCAGTTTTGCTACCCACTTTTATAAGTGTGCCCATGCCTAAGGCCAACCAGTGGGTGGACATAGAGAGAAAAAAAGCAATGGGGATTCATTGCATTCTCTTAGGATCACATCTTCATTAATCATAGAGGAAGGTTCCCCTTCCTCTGAGTTTTGATTTCTTTGGGATTCTGTTGCTACCACTGGATTTTTTTGTGGTGGGTTGTAGGGGGCAGTGGGGGGGCAAACTGGAATGTGAAATAATAGAGGGAAAAAATTTAAAAATCTGGAGATTTCTGCATTTTCACTGAACATTAGGAGCCCCATTTCTTGATCTCTTAGCCAGACCAAGAGGCTTCTCCTGGAGCTCACTCTCTCTGCCCCACTGCTTCTTCTGAGGTTTGGGCTACATTAAGTTCAGGCTGGGGAATACTAACTGGAAAAAATGGTAAACTCACAAGCAATGAGATAGCTGCTCCATACATTCTAAGATTTGTAGCTACACTCGATAAGAGAAATAGGATGAAATGTGTTTACTTGATCTTCCCTGGGACTGGAACTCTAGTGTTCTCTCAAATATTTAATAATAATTACCATTTCTACACACCATGCTGAATGCTTTATGTGGCTTATTGTGTGTTTCTCCAAATTAACTCATATGTGGCCTCCTTTAAAAGGAAAAGTATTCTTTCATGGGCTGCTAAAGTGTATTTTAAAAATTATTTGTTCCTTAAATATGTATTGACACACTTTGGACTGATGTAGACCTATGGAAAAACAAAACAAAACTAATAAGTATTGACACACTGCTAGGTCAAAACTTCTTATGCTTACAGTGCTTAAACAACTATAAAACCAAATGAAATTTATAAATTAAATGCAAACAAAAGTAGGGCACAAAACAATGCAAATCAACATCATTTATTTAATGTGACAGATGACAATGTTTGTTGAAACTAAATAGCTGTTCAACTGTGAATTGCAGTGTTTGACTGTGGTGTGGGGTTTTTTCTTGCCATATCAATGCTTCCTCATGCTGAGTGATGACTCAATTCTCCCATTAATTCCTCTGCTTAACCACTGCCCCACCCTGAAGGCTTCATTTGTACAGTGTGCTATCACGTCATTTGGCCTATTGTTGACTCAAAGCAGTATTTACATATTAACTCTCTGTCTTTTAACATATTAAGATATTAGCACATTTACATATTAAATCTGTCTCTCATTAACATCCCAAGGTCATAAAAATAGTAGTTGCTGGTGCCAACACTAGTGCAAATGCCTTTGAAAACTTTGATACTTAAATCTCCCAGCAGGACTTAGTTATGAGGTAGTCATTCAGATGATCTGCAATGTGTTAATATTAGATTATTTAGCCTGCTCTCCAAATGAAAACCTCATATTAAAAAATGTAGTTAAAAAATCCATAAGACTCAGAAAATGTATTTGTGGATCCCAATTGGAAAAACACTGCAATACTATTAAATTTAATCTTTTGACAAAAATCATCATCACCAGCTTACAATGAGGAAACTGAGGCTTAGAGAGGTAAGTTGGCCAAAGTCTCATAGGTGATCAATGGCAGGGTCAGGGTACACAGAGAGCAGCCAAGTTTATCTCCAGAGCCTCCACTCGTAACTGTGACTCACCTAAGGCTACTGTTCTCCGTGAAAACTTGTGCCTTCATCTGTTTTTCCAAAGTGGGCAAAGGCTACATGGAACTCTCCAAACTGCCTAATAGGACCTCACTTTACTCTTTGATCTAAGACCTTTATGTTACCCTGAATTAAAGAATGAATTATGAATTGTTTTATTATGCCCTGAAGACAAGAAAGAATACAAGGAATATAGAACTGTATTCATTTTATTACTCTGAATTCCCTTTATATCCTTGCCACTGCATGAAATGTATTTTTCCATAGGTGTGATCAGTGTGCACATTCCTGTCACTCCCTGAGAAGCTTCTCTGTCTTCCCAGGCACAATAAAGCACTTCCTTTTCTTTTTAACATATAACACTTTGCTCACAGGTCAAATGAACTACAGAATACATTTTGCATGTTTGCCTGCCCTCCCATAAACTGTGAGTACCTTGAGGAAAAGGATCTTGTCTTCCTCATCTTTGTAGTATTAGAGAAGTACCAACACAGTTCGTTATGCATTTGCTATGTCATGCTTTTGTATATTAACTGACCATATATTGAAATAAAACTGATATCTTGGTTTTCTCCCTGAACATTTTCCTCCCTTAGTCTTCTCTCGCAGAAATAGGCATTACATCTGCTACCATCATCTCTTGCCTGAATGACAGCAATTGCCTCTAATTGGTCTTGCCACATCAATCCAATCCACAGAGAACTCTGACTTCCAGCTTTCCCTCTGTCTTTCATTTCTCCTTCCCTATGTGCATCTGCTCTATTGTCTTCTCTTTTCAGCGTGGCTTCCCTTTTCTTTAACCTTAGACTATGTATTAGTTATCTGTTGCTGTGTAACAAATCACCCCAAAACTTAGTGACTGAAGATAACATTAAGAATGTCATAGTTTCTGTAGATTGAGCATCCAGGTGAGGCTTAGCAGGGTCTTCTGTTTCTCAGAGGCTGCAATAAAAGGTGTGAGCTGGAACCGTAGTAATCTCAAGGCTCAACTGGGGAATGATCTGATTCTAAGCTCACCACATGGTGTTGGCAGGATTTAGTTCCTGGACAGTTGTTAGACCAAGAGCCCCTTGCTGGCTGTTGGCTGGAAGCCATCCTCAGTTCCTGGCCATGTGGGCCTCGCCTTACAATATAGCAGTTTGCTTCATCAGTGCAAGTGAGAAGAGCCAGAGAGAAGGGAGCAAGATAGAAATGACAGCCTTTTACTTTCTAATCTCGGAGGTGATATCACATTTTCCATGTTCTATTTGTGAGAAGCAAGTGACTATGTCTAGCCTACACTCAAGGAGAGGAAATTACACAAGAGTGTGAATACCAGGAGGTGTAGATGACTAGGAGTCATTTTAAGAACAGCTGACCACAGACCAGACCATAGACTAGAAAACAGTGGCTGTCCATGAGCTCTCAAATTTATATCTATACATGCAGTTTTGTGGAACAATCGGGTTCTGTCTTATGGTTTCAATCCCAGATTCTCAGAGGGATGTCTCTGATTGGCTAGCTAAAGTCATGTGCTCACCCTTGGTTCAATCGACTATGGCCAAGGTGGGTGAGTTAAGTTTCTGAGCAAAGATGGTGACTGGGAGTCCATTTCTGCCATGTGGATTGAAGGTGGGGAAGAAAGGGAGTGTCAGCTGTGGACAACTTGGCAGGTATCTATTTTATTTTATTTTTATTTATTTATTTATTTTTGAGACAGAGTCTTGCTCTGTCACCCAGGCTGCAGTGCAGTGGCACCATCTCAGCTCACTGCAACCTCTGCCTCCCAGGTTCAAGTGATTCTCCTGCCTCAGCTTCCTGAGTAGCTGGGATTACAGGCATGCACCACCATGCCCAGCTAATTTTTGTATTTTTAGTAGAGATGGAGTTTCACCATGTTGGCCAGGCTGGTCTTAAACTCCTGACCTCAAGTGATCGACCTGCCTTGGCCTCCCAAAGTGCTGGGATTACAGGTGTGAGCCACCACGCCAGGGCACAGGTATCTACTTTAGATGTCCTGGCCCTTGGGGTCTATAATCACTCTTTTTGCTTGTCTCAACTCCCTAGCTTAAATGGCACCTAAACAGGAGAAACCTCAGACTTCTATTGGACTCCCTGATACACAGGAGGTCACTTGCAAAGCTTCCTAGAAGAGAAATGAAGAACATTGCCTTTAAATTGCAACATAAGCTCCTGGCTTTGGAGAAGTTTGCAAGTTGGCAGGTCACCCCTGGGCTAGGGTCTCTCAGGCCAGAGGAGTGAGGGCAGAAAGGCAGGGGCTGGTTCAGAGCAATGCAGCCTTTTGAAACACTTGGATAGAGATCCTTCTCCCTCCTGGTGTGCCAGGCCCATAGTAATGTGTCTTGTCCCAAGAGGATGATCCTTCACAAGCTAAGTGACAGCCACATTGATTTTAAGACTATTGGGCAAAGTCTGTATTAAGCTGGGGCACTTAGAGTGCTTTGTCCCTGGCCCTGTATTTTTTTTCTCACCTAATATTTTTGCACTCAGCTATGGTAATCATATCCAGGAAGGGAGTCCCAAGAATGCCCTCCGGGTGTCCTCGAGCCTATCTCTTGGGAGTAGAGCCTATCTCTGCAGCCTCTGCCCTGTGTCTCCTGCCCTAGACACTGCCCTGGACACCAGGGCAGGCATAGGGTGGGCTCCCTATACTTGACAAGCTCACAGTTGCATGAACAAGCCTCTTAGGGTGGGTCTGGGGATCCTTTCTTTTATTTTTTAAAAAATTGAGGTGAAATCCACATAGTATAAACTTAATCTTTTTTTTTTTTTTTTTTTGAGACAGGGTCTTACTCTGTCACCCAGGCTGGAGTACAGTGGCACAATCATGGCTCACTGCAGTCTTGACCTCCTGGACTTAAGCAATCCTCCCATCTCAGCCTCCTGAATGGCCGGGACTACAGATGCACAGGTTAATTTTTTATTTTTTATAGAGATGGGACCTCACTTTTTTGCCCATGCTGGTCTTGAACTCCTGGCCTCAAGTGATCCTCCTGCTTCGGCCTCCCAAAATGCTAGGATTACAGGCATGAGCTATCATGTCCAGCCATATTAACCATTTTATTTTTAATTTATTTATGTTTTTTTGAGACAGAGTTTTGCTTTCGTCGCCCAGGCTGGAGTATAATGGTGTGATCTCGGCTCACTGCAACCTCTGCTTCCTGGGTTCAAGCGATTGTCCTGCCTCGGCCTCTCAAGTAGCTGGGATTACAGGCACATGCCACCATGCCCAGTTAATTTTTGTATTTTTAGTAGAGACGGGGCTTCACCATGTTGGCCAGGCTGGTCTTGAACTCCTGACCTCAGGTGATCCACCTGCCTTAGCTTCCCAAAGTGCTGGGATTACAGGCATGAGCCACCACACCCTGCCCCAAATTAACCATTTTAAAGTGTACAATTCAGTGGCATTTTGTGCATTCATAATGTTGGGCAATGACTTTCTCTAGTTTCAAAACTTTTTCATCTTCCCAGAAAATACCCTTTAAATAATCCTTTCTCATTCCCTATCCCACCCCCGGCCCCTGGCAACCACTAATCTGCTTTCTGTCTCCATGGACTTGCCTATTCTGGATATTTTATATAAAAGGAATCATACAATATGTTGGTCTTTTATGTCTGGCTTCTTTCACTTAGCATAATGTTTTTGAGGTTCATCCAAGTTGTAGCATGTATTGGTACTTCATTTCTTTTTATAGTTGATTTTTTTAAGTGCAGCATCTGTACTAGTATTTTGACATATTGAAAGAGACCTCCTCTCCATTTCTCCTTCTCTTTAACCTTTCTCTCTTGAAGAGGCTGGGGGCAGTCTCTTTTATCTAGACAGGAATACAGAAATATTTTATTGTTGCTCTCGATCAACATGCGTTCTTAAAATATTGGACTAGGTAGTACAGCAAGATTACTGTCAACACAGTGTTTCTGAAGTCCCTTCACCAAAAACTATGGAGGGTACAAGGCCCTCATTTGATTGTACATATGTACTGATACGTTTACTAGAGGTAGGAACCCATGTTGGTTGGATCACCAAGTGGAATAAAATACTAACCCTGCCCTCACAGAGCATGTAGCTCAGAGGGGTGGTGACAGAGACATCAACCAACCATGACAATTCAATGCAATAAATGCTTCTGTTAGATGTTTGCTGAGGGTGCTGTGAAAGCAAGGAGCCAGGGCATTTAATCAAGCAGGAAGACTTCCAGAAGAAACTGATGTTTGAATTGAGTCTTGATGCCAAAAGAGAATTACCCAGAAGGAGAAAGCCAGGAGGGAAATAACTATAGGAAGGTTCAGAACATCATGGTGAACACTCTAGGCAAATGAAGATACCAAATGAAATACCTAATAAAAAGCAACAAGAAAAATGCCAAGCAGTTCTGATATCTCTGCAGCAAGACAGCATGGGGAGGCCCATTCATTGGCTGGTGAGCTTGTTTTCACCAGATAGGTCAGTGGGACAGGTGTGCTAATGTGCTTGATGGCATGAACATGGCTCTGCAATCACTAGTTGCTGGGGTATTCTACTAGATGTAGTGGATGTGGGGGCTTTGAGCTGGACTCTAGAGCCAGATGCCTGAGCTTGAATCCTGATTCTGTCACTGATTTGCTATGGACCTTGAGAGAAATATTTGCCATCATGGTGCCTCAGTTTTGACATCTATAAAATTGAAATCATAACGGTATTTACCTCTTCCAGTTGTTATGAGGATTGCATGAGTGAGCATGGTGCACTGAAGCACTTGGAACAGTGCCTGGCACTGAGTCAGTGCTGTTATTGAAGAAGTAATAAGTCAGTCAGTCTCAGCTTTTGTTGTTCCTCTGGGCTAATCACAGAAACTACTCATCGGGGTGAGTACCCTATGGCTACCACGTGCTAGGCACTGGGTAATTTACACATCGTCTCATTTAACTCTCCTGACAACCCAGAGAAGGGAGTTAAAAAAAGAGACTTGGCAGATCAGTCATCAAGTTGGAAGAAACACTCTCCCAAGACCCACAGCTAATAAGGGATGTTGTCAGTATTTGGACCCGGTTTGTCTGATTATCAGGGCCTGCTCTTAATCATGCCTCTATTCTGCCTCCCTTAGCTGGGGGTTCCTACAGAATGCAAATGGCTCACATGCCTTGGGGACTGGGGACTGTGTTGGAGAGGTAGGATGACTTCTAAAGTCACTTGCTATTTCAACACATGTTTAGGACATTTGGGGATTTATCCTCTTTCCTTACAACTCAAGAAAAATCCAGTTTGAATGTGCACCCTTCTGCACCCCACTCTCTCTGTGTATCAGTTTAGTTTTATGTTTTCTTGATAAACCAAAATGCAAGGAAGTTTCTTTCTTGGAACCAAATATAACTGGGAAGAAGTGCCATGTTTAGATTCTGGGAGGGTGGTGGGCCATGCCAAGTAGATTTACACTTACCCTTGGGATATAATCACATTTTAAGTGGGAATTCAACCTCAATCTGTGGCCGCAGAATTGTCCTGTAAAGGAGTGGCTTTAGATAGGAAACCAGAGGCAGTCACCTAACTGAAGAGCACACAGCTCTTCTGGGAAAGTTGTAGGAGCAACCTCTGGGGGTGTGGGCATTGGCGCCTTTTGGAACCTCAGGTTTCCCAGCTATTAGAGGTATGGGTCACAGATTGCGGGATCCCAAAGGTTAACCTTGCAGGCAATGTGCTGCAGCGGTTGGCACTCATTTGTAACTTCTGTTTCTGTCTTCATCATGATGGACGGGTAATTTTTTGCTAAGAGCTATTAGAGTGCCTGAGCCAGTAATTGCCAGAGAGAGTGGTCATAATCACATTTCCTGCTTCTATCAGGGCCTTGGATTTTGCAAGGCACCAAAATACTCTGCTGGAGGCCTTCCCAAGTGGGAGCTCTTAGGAAAAAGGTTATAGGACTTTGCCTGCCCTCTTTTATGGGGTACTGGGTGGTGGCCAAAAAAATCCCCAAAGCTCTTTAGAAACTTGGAGGTTGAGTTCTCTCCATTTCATTACTCTTCGTTTTGGGATTGGAGGAGGGGAAGAAATGTGAGTTCTATGTAGGAAGCTTACGCCTGCTTAAATATTGTCCACCCTGGTGGGGCATGAGCTGGGTGGGCAGTAGGTTCCTTTCGATGCTTGATATGAGCAATAAGGGATGAAGTGCTTCTGGGCCCTCAGAGGACACAGGTACTATGTGAGGAGTCTCTGCAATTAGAATAGGGGAGGAAGAGAGGTGAAACCAATCCTTCCTTCCCTCCCCTCTCTTCCCCTTCCCCTTCCTTCTTTCCTTCCTTCCCTCTTTCCTTCCTTCCTTCTCTCTTCCCTCCCGTCCTCATTTTATCTTCAAGAATTTATTAATCATTTACCATGTGCTAGGGTTGGGTGATATACACACCAAAGAGTTCTCCATCTAGCTGGCGAGGCAGCTGACATGACTTAGAGTGGTGATAAAGTCGGGGAGCACAGAAGAGGTAGCAGCTGACCCTGCTTACAATGGCAGATGAGGGTCAAGGAGGAGAGGTCATAGGAAGGGTCATGGAGGAACTGGCATTTGAGATGGACATTGGAGGAGCTTTCCAGGTGGTGAAGTGGAAGAATGGCACCCAGAAAGCAGAAACAGTATGAGGAAAGGTTTGGAGATATGAAAGAGGATTGGATAGGTGTTCAGAAAATGGGGTATACAGTGCTCCAATAAAATGTATGCATTAAGAACACAAAATAAATGCTGCTCTGTTACAGACTGTTGTCAGCAATAGACTGGTGTTAGTTGTGGGCATTTTGAATATGTCTGACTTTAAAAAAAACCCAAAATAGATATTAATTAACATCTTGTTAAAGTATGCATTACTAAAATCATGTATATATTTTATTGAATAACTGTTAATTTTGGAGTATCTGGAATATAACATGTTATGAGGCTGAAAGAGAAAAGACTGAAATGAAGATAGAGCCAGCTTCACGTTTTGTGTCCGGAATTGGTGGGTTCCTGGTCTCACTGACTTCACGAATGAAGCCGCAGACCTTTGTGGTGAGTGTTACAGCTCTTAAGGTGGCGCGTCTGGAGTTTGTTCCTTCTGATGTTCGGATGTGTTCAGAGTTTCTTCCTTCTGGGGGGTTCGTGGTCTCGCTGGCTCAGGAGTGAAGCTGTAGACCTTCGCGGTGGGTGTTACAGCTCTTAAGGCAGCGCGTCTGGAGTTGTTCATTCCTGCTGGTGGGCTCTTGGTCTCGCTGGCTTCAGGACAGAAGCTGCAGATCTTCGTGGTGAGTGTTATAGCTCATAAAAGCACCATGGACCCAAAGAGTGAGCAGTAGCAAGATTTATTGCAGAGTGAAAGAACAAAGCCTCCACAGCGTGCGTGGAAGGGGACCTGAGACGCTTGCCACTGCTGGCTCGGGCAGCCTGCTTTTATTCTCTTATCTGGCCCCACCCACATCCTGCTGATTGGTAGAGCCAAGTGGTCTGTTTTGACAGGGTGCTGATTGGTGGGTTTACAATCCCTGAGCTAGATATAAAGGTTCTCCAAGGCCCCACCAGAGCAGCTAGATACAGAATGTAGATTGGTGCACTCACAAACCCTTAGCTAGACACAGGGTGCAGACTGGTGTGTTTACAATCCCTGAGCTAGATACAAAGGTTCTCCACGTCCCCATCAGATTAGTTAGATACAGAGTTTCGACATAAAGGTTCTCCAAGGCCCCATCAGAGCAGCTAGATACAGAGTGTCGATTGGTGCACTCACAAACCTTGAGCTAAACACATGGTGCTGATTGGTGTATTTACAATCCCTGAGCTAGACATAAAGACTATCCACCTCCCCACCAGACTCAGGATCCCAGCTGGCTTCACCTAGTGGATCCTGCAACAGGGCTGCAGGTGGAGCTGCCTGCCAGTCCCGCGCCGTGCGCTCGCACTCCTCAGCCCTTGGGTGGTCGATGGGACTGGGCGCTGTGGAGCAGGGGGTGCTGCTCGTCGGGGAGGCTTGGGCCGCACCGGAGCCCATGGAGTAGGTGGGAGGCTCAGGCATGGCAGGCTGCAGGTCTGGAGCCCTGCCCCGCGGGAAGGCAGCTAAGGCTCGGTGAGAAATCGAGCGCAGCGCCGGTGGGCTGGCACTGCTGGGGGGACCCAGTACACCCTCCGCAGCCACTGGCCTGGGTGCTAAGTCCCTCATTGCCTGGGGCCAGCAGGGCTGGCCGGCTGCTCTGAGTGTGGGGCCCGCCAAGCCCAAGCCCACTCGAAACTCCAGCTGGCCCACAAGCGCCGCACACAGCCCCGGTTCCCGCTCGCGCCTCTCCCTCCACACCTCTCTGTAAGTTGAGGGAGTGGGCTCCAGCCTTGGCCAGCCCAGAAAGGGGCTCCCACAGTGCAGTGGTGGGCTGAAGGGCTCCTCAAATGCCGCCAAAGTGGGAGCCCAGGCAGAGGAGGTGCCGAGAGCAAGCAAGGGCTGTGAGGACTGCCAGCATGCTGTCACCTCTCAGTTTGACTTGCTACATGTGTTATGATTTTTCCTTTTTTTGCTTTTTATAATGGAAAATTTTCAAACACACAAAAATAGGACAATGAAGCCTTGTGTACCCATACCCAGCTTTAATAGCTACCAACTTTCTCCCATTTTTGTTTCATGGTTTCTCTCAATTTTCTTTTTAAAATTTTCTTATATTTTTAAATTTAGAGATGGAGTCTCACTATGTTGCCCAGGCTGGTCTTGAACTTCTGGCCTTAAGCGATCCTCTTTGGCCTCTTAAAGTGCTGGGATTATACGTGCAAGCCACCATGTTTGGCCAAATTTCTTTTTTAATTTCTGGAGTATCTTGAAGCAAATCCAGTACTCATGGACATTTCAATATAATTTCTTTTTTTAAAAAAATATAGCCATAAAAACATACCAGATAATTTCTTTTAAAATATACAACCACTGTTTCATTTTCACACCCAAGAAAATAAACAAAAATTCCTTAATAGCATTTAAAATACTGCATATGTTGAATTTTTCCTGTCTCAAACATGTCTTTTTACAGTTGATTTGTTTAAATCAGAATCCAAACACAGTGCACATACGGCATGTGGATGGTTCATCTCTTGATTCTCTCTTAATCTACATTCTCCACATTTCCCCCCATAGTTCCCCCCGCTTAAATTTTGTTATTGTTTTAGGAAACTAGGTTGTCCTGTTGTCTCCCAAAGTTTGGATTTGGCTAATTGTCCCCTCATGGTACTACAAGCTCCTCTAACTCCCTTACTTTCTACGCACTAGTAGTTAGAGCTAGAGGCTTGATCAGATGAGATTCTCTCTTTTGGCAGGAAAACTTCATCAGTGGTGCGATGTGTTTCCTGCAGAATCACATTTGTTCCATGATTAGTGATGTTACCTTTAGTCACTGAATTCAGATGATGTCAGATTGATCCATTCATGATTGAGTTTGTATTAAGCTTTTAAAGCAGGAGTGGCAAAAATAGATTGCTGTGACAAAGATCTCCCCTGGTGACTGTATATGGAGAATGAGCTAATGAAGTGACCTTGGAGACAGTGAGACCAGTTGGAAGCAATTGCAGTGGTCTAGGTGAAAGATGAAGACTTTGACTAAGACAGTATGAATTGTAGGAATGACACAGGAGGGTCCACATTTGAGAGCTATGAAGAAGGTAGTGGGTGTCTACCAGATGGAGAGGTCAAGGAGTAGAACACAGTTAATTGGTTAGACTGTCATCATCTTTTCTTTACATGCATCGTAACTTAGGTGATCTCTTCCATTCACATGGTTTTAAATAGCCTCATTTGTTGATAGCTGTTAAAGTTATATCTCTAAACTTAAACTTTTCCCTGAACTTTACACTCTCATATTCAATTACCTGCCAAGCAGCTCCACTGGGATCTCAAACTTCCATGTTCCAAAACCGTATTCTTGTTTTATGTGCCAAACCTGTCCTCTCTCTGTTTTTCCCGTCCTAGTAATGGCGCTCCTCATTGTTCAGGCAAGAAACCTAGGAATCTCCTTGTTTCTTACCTGTCTGTCATACTCCATCAAAGTTCTATTAGCTTGACCTTTAAAAGTTATCTGAATCTGAACATGTCTCAGAAACTCTATCACCTACCAGCCTAGGACAGAATCTAGTCATTCTTCAAATCATCCTAAGATCTTGCTGTTTCCATTCTTACAGCAAGTAGTCCAGATAAGACATGCAGACCATCAGAGTTAAGTCTCAGAGGATGGTGCCGGTCATTATCCTCTTTGATTCTTGGCAAAGACAGATAGTGGTCATCTGTCTTTGCATCTTCTATACTTTCCTGTTAGTCCCAAGGCATTAAATACAATCTCTACACAGTTGTGATGTGGCAACTACAAAAGTGGCTCCATTTCTTCACCTCTTTGCCAAGTAGCTTTGCAATGCTTCCCCACTCTGGTCTCTGGGCGAGGCCCTGTGACTAGATTTAACCAGTGGAATATCAGCAAATTTGATGCAAGTAGAGGCTTGAAAAACGCTTGGACAATTAGGCTTGGTCTTTATCTCTTGCAGTTCTGTCAATTCCATAAGACATCGTTGGACTAGTCTATGGAGGATGGGAGATATGTGAAGCAGAGAGGTGAGGCTGGCTTGGATAAACAGCCAGCTAGCTGACTCCCTGATGTGTGAGTTTAGCCAAGATTGTCAAAGCTATCTAGTCAGCCTTTCTCCATGCATGAGCAATTAGGGTTTTATAGTTGTTATGCAGTATTGTGGCAATAGATAACAAGGGAATTCCAAATCTACCACATGGTTCTTTCCTCTTAACTCCAGGCTTGTATATCTATCCAGATACTTGTCAGACAACTCTATTTGGATATATGATAGCTTCCACAAAACATGATAAAATCTTCTATAAATCAGCTCTTTCCCTAATTGTTGCCATCTCATGATGGTACCACCAGTCCTCTAGCAGCTCGGGCCAAAACAGTAGGAGTCATTCTTTATTCTTTTTTTTCTTTGTATCTCTCATCCAACTAATCAGGTTGTATCTATTTTATCTTCAAAACGTATCCCAAAATCTATCTACTTTTCTCCATCCCTACTATAGACCACTTTAGTCCATAATCCTATAAACTTTCCTCTGTCATTATAGATACTTCCTCTCTGTTTTCATTCTTGATCCAGTATAGTCAATTTTCAAAATGGCAGTCAGAATAATTTAAAAAACATTCCTTAGGTGGGAAACAAAAAGCTTAGACAACAAAATAAAAAATAGGTAAATTATACAAAAATTAAAACTGTGTTTTGTTTGTTTGTTTGAGACGGAGTCTTGCTCTGTTGCCCAAGCTGGAGTGTAGTGGCATGATCTTGGCTCACTGCAACCTCCACCTCCCAGGTTCAAGCGAGTCTCCTGCCTCAGCCTCCCAAGTTAGCTGGGACTACAGGTGCGTGGCACCACACCTGGCTAATTTTTTTATTTTTAGTAGAGACAGGGTTTCACCATGTTGGCCAGGCTGGTCTCGAACTCCTAACCTCAGGTGATCCTCCTGCCTCAGCCTCCCAAAGTGCTGGGATTATAAGTGTGAGCCATGGCACCTGGCCTAAAACTGTTAGTCATCAAAATAAACTGTCAACAGGGTGAAAACGCAACCCATGGAATGGGAAAAAATATTTGCAAACCATATATCTGATAAGGAGTTAATATCCAGAACATATAAATAACTCATACAACTCAAAAACAAAAAACCAACCTGATTAAAAAATGGGCAAAGGACTTGAATAGACATTTTTCCAAAGAAGATATACAAACAGTCAACAAGCACATAAAAAGCTGTCCAGCGTCACTAATCACTAGGGAAATACAATCAAAACCAGAGTGAGATACCATCTCACGCTCATTAGGATGGCTACGATAAAAAACCAACAACAACGGAAAATAACAAGTATTGTTGAGGATGTGGAGAAATTGGAACCCTTGTGAACTGCTGATGAGAATGTAAAATAGCCACTGTGGAAATCAGTCTGATCATTCCTCAAATAAATTAAAAGATAGATTCAGCAATTCAATTTCTGAGGATATACCCCAAATAATTGAGAGCAGGGATATGAACAGATAATTGTACACTCACATTCATAGCAACATCATTCATAATAGTCAAGAGGTGGAGGCAACCCAGGTGTTCGGTGAGAGGTGAATGGATAAACAAAGTGTGGTCTATACATCCAGTGGGATATTATTCAGCCTTGAAAAAGGAAGGACATTCTGTCACATGCTAAACATGGATGAACCTTGAAAACATTGTGAAATAAGCTGGTCACAAAAGGACAAATACTCTATGATTTCACTTATTTGAGATGCCTAGACTAGTAAAAATCACAGAGATGGAAAGTTAAAAGAGGATTGGGGGTGAAATGAGAATGAGGAGTTATTGTTTAATAGGTTACAGAGTTTCAGTTTTGCATGACAAAAAAAAAAGGTCTGCAGGTGGGTGATGGTGGTGGTTGCACAACACTGTGAAACGGCTTAATGCCATTGAACTGCACACTTAAAAATAGTTAAAATAGCAGATTTTGTTATGTATATTTTTACCACAGCTCAAAAAATAGCATAAAAAGTATTTCTCAAGGCATTTAAAATACATTGTAATATTTTCTTTTGAACTCGTCAACAATCTTGCAAAAAAGAAATGAATTCAAAGATTATGAAATAAATTATTGGCCTTTTATGGGCTTGCAAGGAACCATAACTGTTTTCAGACTATTATTCTAGATCCAGACCCTATTCTTTATTCAGAATATACTATAGCTAGTTAGCGCCTACTTATATTTAAATTATTTTCCCTGTCATATGAAGACTGACAATAGAAGTGTGCCTCATGGCTAATTAGTATTCCATTCTGAATATTTTGAGCTAAAACTTAGATTTTAAATTCCAAATTAAGTAATATTTGATATGTACAGTGGAATATATGTAAGTTATACATATATTAATATCTATAATATATGAATATATGCAAGTCATGAAAATATGTGTTATATAAGAATATACATTAGTCACAAGATATAATTATCTTCTAAAATGTAAGTCAGATCATTTCACTCCCTGATCAAAGCCTTCAAAGACTTCCAGTCTTAGTCCTTTCCCAGGTCTTTGGGCCCCGCAGGACCCTACTTGGCCTATCTTTCCAACCTCATCTCCTACTGTCTGTCTCCTGGTGCATTCTGCTCTGGCTATCTTGGCCTTCTTGTTTGTACTCAAACTTCCAAGTTGGTCCTGTCTCAGGGCCTTCATACTTGCCATCCCCTGGAATATTTTCCTTCTGAATATCTGAATATCTCATATCCTCCTCCAACTTGGTCTCTGCTCAAACGTCACTCCTCAGAGGGTCCTATCTTGACTGCTCTATCTAAAACAGACCCCTCCCTCCACTTCACACTCATCTCCCTCTACCTCCTTATTCTGCGTAACTTTCTTTTTGTACTTAAACTACACAAAGTTATATTACATACTTATCTCTCGTCTCCTTCTCATCCTTCATCTAACTTGTTTACCACAGTATCCCCAGCTCCAAGAAGAATGTCTGACACACTGATGACCTTCAATCAATGTTTTTGTTCAATGAATGAACTTAACAAGTGTTTATTGAATCCCTACTATGTGTCAGACACTGTGGAATTTGCTTTGGTGCCTGTGTGAAAGGTCATGCTATTGACTGAGACACTTTGGTTGTTTAGAGGGTTTGAGTTTGAGATACCTTGGGACTAGCAGGTGGAGATGGAGAAGGCAGTTGTTTTCCTGGCATGGAATTCAGGGGCTCTGAGAGATTGGTGAAGTATTAGTCCATTTTCACGCTGCTGATAAAGACACACCCGAAAATGGGAAATTTACAAAAGAAAGAGATTTAATTGGACTTATAGTTCCATGTGGCTGGAAACCTCACAATCATGGCAGAAGGCAAGGAGGAGCAAGTCATGTCTTACCTGGATGGCAGCAGGCAAAGAAAGGGAGAGCTTGTGCAGGGAAACTCCTTTTTTCCAAACTATCAGATCTCGTGAGACTTATTCACTATCATGAGAACAGCATGGAAAAGACTTGCCCCCATGATTCAATTACCTCCCACGGGGTTCCTCCCACAACACATGAGAATTCAAGATGAGATTTTGGTGGGGACACAGTCAAACCATATCAGATGGGAATGCATAATAGAACATAATAGAATTCTACACTGGGACTGACAACTGGTCTATCCATCCTGGGAGTCCATCTCGGATGGGCATTCAGGGGCATTGTAAGAAGAATGGTTATAGTGGTCCATAATAGGAACAGTAAGGTCCATCCTAAATGGAGCCTGTAGGTGATGTGGCTTTGGCAACTATGAGAACATCTCTGCTCCCAGAAACCACAGGCTTCTTCAGCTCCTTGGTGTTGGGAATTCCCTTAGAAGGGAAAGTGATTCACTTGGCCTCTAGAGAGAAATTAGGAAGACAGGCAGTCCCATGAGAAGGCCCCTTCACTTCAGGTTACAGAGACATCTAGACAACTCATACTGGAACTTTCCAGGACCCAGAATTGGGGGCTTTTGTCGGAGAGAGAATCTGAGGTCTAGGGCAAAGAGCAAGGGAAGTGGGAAGAAGGGCCCAGAAATTTCACATATAAATTTCCTAGATAAAAACTCCCCTTACATTTTTATGGTATTTTATTAAATATTGTATAAAAAGTCAGGTGCTCTTAAATTTAAATTCTACCTACTAATGACTTGTGGGATCTTTGGAAAATTTACTTCTGCAAATGTTCTCATTTGTGGGGTGCAGGTAATAATATAGTCCTTATGGGATTAAAGGAGATGGTGCACATAAAATGCTTAGCCCACTGCCAGCATGGACACATTCGGCCATTAGGCTCCTTCCCCATTTCCTTGACCTGATCTCATTTGAGCCTTATACAACTCTGGAAGATAGGTTTGGCAGCTATTGTTATCATTCCCATTTTACAGATTAAAAAACTGAGACCAGAGAGATTTATTCTCACTTTCTGAAAGTCAGAGCTTTAAAATAGGAGAGTTAGGATTTGAATTCAGGTCTTTGGTCCCATGTGGTCTTCTCACACCATGTTGTCCCCAGCTCCTTTCTGATGGTGTCAGAGGGTGTCATTTCTGGGGAAACGGAGTCTAATCACTTACTGCTTGGCCTGTACCTCGAAGCCGGGAAGATACTGCTACCTTTGCTTTGGTCATAATATACTTTCAGATAAAACATATAGAAGCAGAATATCTGAAAGCTGGCCAGGCATGGTGGCTCACGCCTTTAATCCCAGCACTTTGGGAGGCTGAGGTGGGCGGATCACCTGAGGTCAGGAGTGGGAGACCAGTTTGGCCAACATACTGAAATCTGTCTCTACTAAAAATACAAAAATTAGCGGGGCATGGTGGTGGGTGCCTGTAGTCCCAGCTACTGGGGAGGTTGAGGCAGGAGAATCACTTGAACCTGGTAGGTGGAGGTTGCAGTGAGCCGGGATCATGCCACTGCACTCCAGCCTGGGCAACAGAGTGAGACTCCATTTCACACACACACAAAAAGAATGTCTGAAAGCCAAACAATACACTTACATGTTATCAAGGGTATTCATCAAATTATATAAGCCCTAGTTACATCTTGCCTTTCAGATACCACATCTATTGCTCTATTTCTAGCACCCTAGAATGTCTTTAATTTCTCTTTTTGCCTTTACAGTTGAACACAGACTGGCTGGCTGGCTGGAGGAGCTGGGTGGCCAGTCAAGACTAATGATTCAACACTTTGGACAAGCCTGATGATATTCACCTTTGATTCCGTTGTCCTAAATTTGTAAGACTTTTTACCTTCTCACTTTCCTCTTTCTTTTCCCAGTTATTAAAAAAAATACAGCAAATTCAATACAATGTTAAGACAGTTGCCCAACTAAACATGGCTGTGCCGACAAGGATAGTGATCTTGTTGAATTTAATTGTCGAGTGGAGGCAGGGTCATCTTGTCATGGCTCAACTGAGTCTGCTAATTTCCAAGGCCTAAAAGGGGCCATGGGTGACAGTAGCATAGGGCAGTGAAGGTTGTGCAAAATTGCCCTGTAGTAGGTGTGACTTGGGTCATGAACTGTTGGTCCTAAACTCGTGTCTTGCCAGGAGGTGGCGCCCTTTCTCTGCCCAGTTGGTTGTGGCTCTTCATTACTGTGGGGAGGGAAAATGATGCGCTTCCTGTAGCTTGGGCAGCCATTTCAGAGGCTCTCAGATGCAGTGAACTGTGTTTCTTTCTTCTGAACAGTTACACAATTCCCGTAATGAGGGAAATTGCATGGGAATTCACTTCTTCAGCTGTCAGAGCCACTTCTCTGCCCAGGGTTAGGCTTGCTTCTCTCTTCCCTTTAGAGGTGCCGCTACCACCTCTATTTCTTTGAGTTTCTCTCCCCTTAGGATAAGCCGTGGGTTCCAGGAGAATAATCGTAACAGGATTATAATGAGGGTAGAATGGAAATGAAAAAAGAGGACAGGATGGCTGAGGGGGCTGCTTTTGGCAGTGCTTGCTTCTCTCTCTCCCTATTAGGAGCAGCTCTTCTGCCCTTATTCCTGGAGTAACAAAGTTGTCCTGTATTTCCACACACACAGCTCAATCCCCGCCAATGGCAATGGGAGTTGGAATCGCCTTGGGCTGCTAATTACCCTAAGCCCCTTTTGTTTTAGATGGATTGTGGGGAATCCAAGGTCTGAACTAAGAAGAAAGAGAAAGGGAAAAGAGAAAGAAAAACGGCTGGGTGCAGTGGCTCATGCTTGTATTCCTAACACTTTGGGAGGCCAGGGCAGGTAGATCACTTGAGCTCACGAGTTCGAGACCAGCCTGGGCAACATGGCGAGATTCTCATCTCTACAAAAAATATAAAAATTAGCTGGACATGGTGGTACAAACCTGTAATCCCAGCTACTCGGGGGCTGAGGTGGGAGAATCGCTGGAACCCAGGAGGCTGAGGTTGCAATGAGCTGAGATTGTGCCATTGCACTCCAGCCTCAGTGATAGAGTGAGACTCTGTCTCTCAGAAAAGAAAAGGAGGAAGAAAGGGGGAAGAGAAATGAAAATTAGAGAAGAAAATGTGGGAGAAAAAGACAGCCAAATAGTCATCAAAAAGAAAAAGGGACAGAGAGAGACATAGAGAAAGACAGAAAGAGACACGGGAGACCAAATGAGACATACACATGAGAGGGCCATTGATCTGGGGGAAGAACATTGGGTTTGCTTTTCATCTCATCTGCATCAAGCTCTGTGAAGTTGGAAAAGTCACGTGACTGTTCTGATCCTCAGTGTCCCCATATGAAAAATGGGAATAATTACACTTCACACCACTGTGATGTGGGCCAAATGGACCATATGGAGGAGATCTTTTGTAAGTGATCAAGTTCTAGTTAAATGATGTTACTTGATATCAACCAGACTTGAAGAGAGAGGATGTGTCCTGGCCCATGCTGAACCCTAGGGGTGGGGCATAGGTGCCCTCGGTAATCCAGGGAGAAGACCCCTGTCTTCTGCACCGCAATCCTATTTTCTCAGAAGATTTTTTAAGAGGGAAAGTTTCCTTGCCTCCAGCTCCTGGAAAGAGAGGCCTCCCCTGCCCTGGGTAGCAGTGGGGGTGGGTGGGTAGAGGTGCTTCTAGATTACTCTCTTCAAGAAATAACAGTTATAGCTAACATTTTATTAAGCTTACTATGTGCTAGGTGCTTTCCTAAGTGCGCTTTGTGGATTAACATTAAACCTCATAATGAAGTAGGTACTATTAATAGCTTCATTTTACAGATGTGGAAACTAAAGCAAAGAGAGATAAAAGGAAATTGCCTAAGGTCACACAAGAAGTGGCAGAGGAGATGAAAACCCAGGCCATCTGTTGCCAAGTCGCTCGTCCTAATCACTGTGCTATACTGCCTCTCCAGTTAGGCCCATGTCCCTCACTTTTCCATGTTCTGAGCAGGAAGCAGGAGGCTGCCTGCTGATCTGTTTTTTTTTTTTTTTGAGACAGGGTCTCACTCTGTCACCTGGGCTGGAGTACAGTGGCACAATCTTGGCTCATGGCAATGTCCGCCTCCTGGGTTCAAGTGATTCTCTTGCCTCAGGCTCCCAAGTAGCTGGGATTACAGGCATGCAACACCGCACCCGGCTAATTTTTGTACTTTTAGTAGAGACAGGGTTTCACCACGTTGGCCAGGCTGGTCTTGAACTCCTGACCTCAGGTGATCTGCCTGCCTTGGCCTCCCAAAGTGCTGGGATTACAGGCATGAGCCACTGTGCCTGGCCTCTGATCTGTTTCAATGGTGGGTCAGTCAGGGTTCTACTAGAGAAACAGAGGAAGGAGGATACACGAACCTCGTGACACCCCTGCTCCCTGCTGCTGCCTGCCTCCGCGTTTGCGCACATGCTCATACACACACGAATATCCATGTTGATTTCTCTATATCTTTCTGTTTCCAAGGAATTGGCTTACATAATTGTATTAATAGGTTCTGACTGAACAATCCCAAATCATGTAGGGCAGGTGGGCAGGCTGGAAGACTCTCAGGTGGAAGCTGTGCTGCAGGCTATAGGTGGAATTTCTTCTTCCTTGAGGACACTTCAGTTTTGCTGTCAGGACTTTCAACAGATTAGATGAAGCTCACCCATGTAATCAAGGCCAATCTTCTTTACTTAAAGTTGCCTGATCAGAGGTGTTAACTATTATATATCTACAAAATACCTTCACAGCGATATTTAGCCTGATCAGAGGTGTTAACTATTATATATCTACAAAATACCTTCACAGCAATATTTAGATTAGTGTTTGATTGGATAACCGAGTACTCCTACCTGTGTAAGTTGATACATAAAACTAACCACCATGATGGGAAGGGGAGAGTAAGAAAGGGGAAGGGCAAAATACCAGGAGTGGGCAGGCAATTTACTTCTTAGAATTTAATAGACTGAAAATATGTTCCTGCCCCTCTACAGACATGACTGACAGTGAGAACAGTCACATCACATAATTCACAAGGGAGTTCCTTGGAAATGCTTCACTATGAAATTGTGCACGAGAAGCTGTTCTATGGGCAGCTCTGCAAACTAGGTCTTCTGTTTGAGATTCATAATGCACATCACCACATTGAAAGCTCTGAGAAATCCCACAGCAAAGAAACTTGTTTATAGTTTCTAATTAGGCTTTTCCCAAACTCATTTGACCACGAAACCTTTCCTTTCTTTTCCCATGTAACATCCATCAACAGAGCATGCTTAGGCTAAGGCTGGCTTAATCTCCTCTCCCTAAAGCAATAGACCCAGTTCACCGGGATACTGCTGAGGCTTCACTGATAACATAAAAAGAACAATGCTTTCAATCATTCCTTACACATAAATGCTTCCTGCTTTCCTGGTGTTCATGGAAAGTACAAGATTGGCTGACACTAGAAAGTAGAATTCTGTGGCTTTTGTCTTGTGCATATTAAAGAAAAAAAACCCTTTTAAGAGATGAAGAATTCAAAACTATTTTCATCACATTTTGGAGCAAAATGGTCTCTAGGAAAGAGGTACTTTGCATATCACATGACATACTGCCAGCAGGTACCCTCAGGGGCATCAGAACCCTGTGGGAAAGATTAATCTTGCACACTTGGGAGCTGGTACCCCAGAGAGCAGGAAGCATTGATGCTAGTGACTGTGCCATTGATCTCATCAAACAACAAATTCTTCAGTTCATTCTCGAGTGTCTACTGGGAGCTAGGGCACAGTGAGTGCGTGTGTGTGTGTGTGTGTGTGTGTGTGTGTGTGTGTGTGTGTGTGTTGGGGGAGGAGGGGGTAGGCATGCACACAGGAATAAATAGCTAATGGTTTAAGTTAATGGACAATTTTTGTTAGGAGTTGATTTAGTAACACAGACCCCTGTGATGATAAATCTTATGTGTCAGCTTGACTGGGCCATGGAATATTCAGATGTTTGGTTAGACATTATTCTGGATGAGTCCCTCTGTGAAGGCGTTTCTGGAGGAGATGAACCTCTGAATTGGTAAACTGAATAAAGCAGATGGCCCTCTCCAATGTGGGTAGGCATCCTCCAATCCATTGAAGGGATGAACAGAATGAAAGGCTGAGGAAGAGAGGATCTGCTCTCTGTCTTGGAGCTGGGGCATGGGTTTTCTCCTGCATTTGGACTTGGGCTCAGATTTAGATTGGAACTTACACAATTATCTCTGCTAGTTCTCAGGCCTTTGGGCTTGGACTAAAACTTCCACTGTTGGCTCTCCTCGTTCCTGGGCCTTTGGATTTGTGCTAGAACTACCTTATCAGCTCTCCTGGGTCTCCAGCTTGCCGATACAGATCTTGGGACTTCTCAGCCTTCGTAACCAAGTAAGACAATATACATACCTATCCCCTGTTGGTTCTGTTTCTCTGAAGAACCCAGACTAATATAACCCCTCAAATAATAGTGTCTTAAATAGGACAAGGGCTTATTTCTCTCTCATGGAATAGCAATAGTCTGCTGCTAGGCAGACCAGAGCTGGAACAGAGCTCTAAGGTACAAGAAACCCATGTTTGGCCATTTCTAAGGCATTTCTTTCATCTGCATCATACAGAATACCTCAATACCATGTCCTTATTTCAGGCAGGAAGGAGGAGGAAATGGTGTCAAGAAGGGCATGTTCCCTCCCTTTAAGGACACAACTCAAAAGTTTTATTTATCACCTACTATACATCTCATTGGCCAGAACTTGGTCATATGGCCACATATAGCTTCAAGGAGGGGAGGCTGAGAAATGTAATCCCTATTCCAGGTGGCCATGAAACCCAGCCAAAAAACACAGGGTTCCTGTTATTCTGGAGAATGGGACAGTAGATTTTTGGGGACAGCTAACCCTGTCTTCCACAGGGTTATATAAAATGTAAAAAGATATTTATTAAGCCTGGACTGTTTCTAAGCAAGGGTGTACCACAAGCCTTTAGTTCTAGGGATTGGACTAGGGATTTAGATTCCAAGGGCTAAAAACCATGAGATGACATTTACACCTCTGAATGGATAGGAACCATCCCAGACTAAACATTTGAGATTGATACTCCTGACTGTTCCCAAAGTACCCCAAAACTTTTATTTTTAACGGCAACTTAACTTATTGCATTATAATTACTTCTGAGTGTGGATGTGCCTGCCTCCCCAATTATACTGTGCTCCTTTAGGGCGGGGACTCTGTTCTGCGTCTGACTCATGGTAGGCACTCAGTAAACACTGGCTGAATCCCAGGTGGGAAATTGTCATCTGGAAGAGTTGATTTGTAGGATGTTCTTGACACCCACTCCCATTCCCACTTCCACCTCCAAATGGTCCTGAACTCTGACCTTTCCTGGTGAATTAATAGGAAATTCTGCCAAGTTAATCCAAATAATATCTGGAAACTATATAACAGGAGTATCACTTCTGCCATATTTTATTCTTTGTGGCAGTCACAAAGTCCTTGCCAGTCTCAAGAAATGGAGTCTACCTCTTTGTGGGTGGTAGTGGTGGTGGTGGCCAGGTTCTAAATAGAGAATGTGGGAAATACAGTCGCAGCCATTTTTGGAAAACACGCTCTTCGCACACCACCTATCGAGCTCATTCAGAGGACAGAAGAGCAAGACTCCTGGATTCACCAAGGGCTTCTGGCAGGACGAGGCCAGCAGTCACATTCCTCTCTTTCCAGAGGGACCCAAGAAGAGCCAGGGGCTTTGGGAAAATCCCCGGCATCCCCTTGGCATCCAAGAAACAGCATGGGGTGGTGGAAATCCCCCTCGACTCAGAGTCAAGAGGATTGTGGTCTGATTCTTGTGTGATATAGGACATGCCACTTGACCCATTTGAGCCTCAGTTTCTTATGCCTGACAGATGAGATATTTGCATTAGATCAGTTGTTTTCCAATCTGTTGATAGCAGGGAATTCTTTTTCTTTTAGTTTGTATTATTTTCACACAAAAAGGTTGTTGACGGGGTGTTGGGAGGATATAGGTACCCACTTGTCGTTCCCTCTCCCTTCCCCTTGGGGATTCCTCATGAAGCCTTAGAGCTCCTTAGAGCACGTTTGGAAAATCCTTGGACCCGGATTTTCCCTCCCCTCCTCTCCCCTCTCCTCCCCTCTCCTTTCCTTTTCTTAGATAGAGTTTCGCTCTTGTGGCCCAGGCTGGAATACAGTGGTGTGATCTCGGCTCACTGCAAACTCTGCTTCCCAGGTTCAAGCAATTCTGCCTCAGCCTCCTGAGTAGCTGGGATTACAGGTGCACACCACCACACCCGGCTAATTTTTGTGTTATTAGTACAGGCGGGGTTTCACCATGTTGGCCAGGCTGGTCTCAAACTCCTGACCTCAGCTAATCCACCCACCTTGGCCTCCCAAAGTGCTGGGATTACAGGTGTGAGCCACCACACCCTGTTGGACCTGGATGTTTTCTACGGGTTTCCAGGAGAGGGGACTGAATGAGAGAGGAAAGACCTACCACTGCTGTCTCAGATTTCTCCTTCCTGGAATTTTTTCAGCTTCCATCCTGCTCTGTGTGTGACTTCCCCACTTTGGCCTCTCAGCCATCTGACACTGAAGTGTCTGCCAGGTGTTCTGAATGAGCCAAAGTTCCACAGATTCTTGGGGAGAGCAGTAATGAAGGAGCAGGGACATCCTCTGGTAGTGTTTGAACGCAAGCCTCTTTCCAGCTTCCTGTCATCTGTGCCAGGCTGGTGTAGGGGAGGAAGATTTCTCACCCATTACAAGATTCCTGGCTGAGGCACCCATAATAAAAGACAGACTAACAGGAGAAAAGCATACATATTTGTTTAATATAAGTTTTATATGACATGAGAGCATTCAGAAATGAAGACCCTCCCCAAACAGGGACAATTCTATTTTTATGGATGGCTGTGCAGAAGTATAGCTGGAGGACAGAAGGGTGTGATCTGATGGTGGGAAACTGGAGGGAGCTTAGCAAGGCCTGTTTATTCAGATTTTTCTTAGATAAGTGTCTTTGAGGATAAGAACATTCTTTTATTTTCTTTTTTTTTTTTTTTTTGAGATGGAGTCTCACTCTGTCACCCAGGCTGGAGTGCCGTGGCACAATCTTGGCTCACTGTAGCCTTTGCCTTCCTGGTTCAAGTGATTCTCCTGCCTCTGCCTCCTGAGTAGTTGGGACCACAGGCAGATGCCACCACGCCCGGCTAATTTTTGTATTTCTAGTGGAGATGGGTTTTCACCATGTTGGCCAGGCTGGTCTCAAACTCCTGACCTCAAGTGGTCACCCACCTCAGCCTCCCAAAGTGCTGGGATTACAGGTGTGAGCCTCCATGCCCACCTGAGGATAAGAACATTCTTTTCTTCCAGGTACAGGGAGGACTCTGCTGGAATGAGTGGCTCATAGCTGGGTTTTATGGCCTCTTCTGGGGTGTAGGGATGAGAAGAATTCTTTCTAGTTTCGATGGCCTGCTTCTGCTGTGTCCTGAAATGCCAAGGTGCCATATTTTGGGGGAGCATGTCCTAAACCCCATCACTACCATCACTAGCCTGGGAGAAGTCGGGGGACTGAGCAGAAAGCCCAGAAGACCATGGAGACTGTGGTCTCCGCAGTGCTACCTTCCCAGCTTCCACTGGTGACTCTGGGGTTCCCCCTGCCGTAAAGGAGAGGTGCTTTGCTGCTCCCAAGTCCTGTCCCTTCTCTGATGCTCCCGTCCATTTTTTCCACCACTGTATCTCCGGCGGGCCCCTCCCCACCCCCATCTTTTCTCTCCCACATTTTCTGCTCTCTCTCTTTGTTTCTCCATCCCCCTTCTCTCTTAAAAAAAAATTCAATCCCAAGAGCGATTAGATTTGCAAATGAGCGGGCAGGAAACTGGGAACAAAGGGAACCAGAGCCGAAGAGGGAGCAGGTATAATTACTGTAATTAACTCAAGCAGCAGGGACAAATCCCCTTGGCTGCGGCTGCTGTGAGGTGCTGAGAGGCACTGTAAGGGAGACTGAGGGGTGCCAGGAAACTCAGTGCCCCCTCCCCAGGGCTGGGGTGTCCTGGTGGGGGACCCTGGCGGGGGGGAAGCTCCTCTTGGACCTCGCCTGTGTGAGGATCCATTTCATCTCCTGTCCTGGGCTCGGCGGGAGCAGGGAGGAGGGGACCCAGGTTCAGAGATAGGATGTAGTCTCTTGCCCCACGGAGTGGAGCCAGGGAACAGAACCTCCGTCATTTCTTAGCTGGACACTTAGCTCTTTACTTGCTTTGTGACATCTTAGGAGCCTGCTCTGGTTTCCCTAAGATACAAATCCCATTACCGGGTATAGACCCAAAAGAAAATAGATCATTCTGCCAAAAATGTACTCATATGTTTATCGCTGTGCTATTCACAATAGCAATGACATGGAATCAACCTAGATGTTCACCAGTGGTGGACTGGATAAAGAAAATGTGGTACAAATACACCATGGCATACTATGTAGCCATAAAAAAGAGTGAAATCATGTCTTTTACAGTAGCGTGGATGGAGCTGGAGGCCATACTCCTAAGCAAATTAATGCAGGAACAGAAAACCAAATACTACATGTTCTTGCTTGTAAGTAGGAGCTAAACATTGAGCACACATGGGCATAAACATGAGAACAATAGACACTGCTGAGTACCAGCGTGGAGAGGGAGGGAGGGGTTGAAAAACTACCTACTGGGTTCTATGCCCACTACTTGGGTGCAATATACCCGTGTAACAAACTTGCACATGTACCCCCTATATCTAAATAAAAGTTAAAATTTGGCCAGGTGCAGTGCCTCACGCCTGTAATCCCAGCAGTTTGGGAGGCTGAGGCGGGCAGATCGTAACATCAGGAGTTCAAGACCAGCCTGGCCAATATGGTGAAACCCTGTCTTTACTAAAAATACAAAAGTTAGCTGGGTGCGGTGGCACAAGCCTGTAATCCCAGCTACTTAGGAGGCTGAGGCAGGCGAATCGCTTGAACCTGGGAGGCAGAGGTTGCAGTGAGCTGAGATCCCACCACTGCACTCCAGGCTGGGCAACAGAGTGTGAGACTCTGTCTCAAAAATAAAATAAAAAGTTAAAATTCTTTTTTAAAAGTCTAGAGGCCATAGAGGAGGAACATGTCTCTGATCCCATGACACTGTCATATCTGTGTCCCCAAACATCCCTGGCATTTGAGGCCTTCTAATGCACCTTTGCAATCTTACCTTTCACGATGGCCTCTCATCACTTTGTCCTCTAGCCAAATCCCACCGCATGTGGCACCCTGAACATACTCTGTACTTTTCTATTTCTCTGCCTTCGCATGTGGAGCTGTCCTTTTCCTCCTGCATTACACCTTCCCCAGTGCCATTTGGTGAAATGTTTAGAGATACATTTGAAACTACAACCCCTTCTGTGAAGTCCAAAGTAGTCTCACCCTCCACAGAAGCCTTTTCTCTTTCATGGCCCTGTCAACCAAACTTGGAGAAATCATGGTTAGATTTATTCTTGAGGACTGAAGCCTGGGAACACTGACTCAGTACAGACTGAGAATGTGTCCTGAAGTTGGTTCCATGATTCACAGCATACACGTTTTCTAACAGGGGGCATGTGTGGCACAGAAGGTGGGAGAAGCAGGAGGTGTAGCAGGAGTTATGTTTTCATTGCTGGCCAGATGCGGTGGCTCACACCTGTGATCCCAGCACTTTGGGAGGTCAAAGCAGTGGATCACTTGAGGTCAGGAGTTCCAGACCAGCCTGGCCAACATGGTGAAACCCGTCTCTACTAAAAATATGAAAATTAGCTGGGCGTGATGGTGCATGCCTGTTGTCCCAGCTACCCAGGAGGCTGAGGCAGGAGAATCACTTGAATCCAGGAGGCAGAGGTTGCAGTGAGCTGAGATTGGGCCACTGCACTCTAGCCTGGGCAACAGAGGGAGACTTCCTCAAAAAAAAAAAAAAAAAAAAAAAATTCTCGTTGCTGCTCAGTGAGGCTGTACCTAAGATAGGGTGACTATGAGGTTCAGTGGGTAGAGAGAAAGAAAGGTTAGGCATCTTAGGATCTGATGGAGGGTGACTAATTCTGCTTTTTGTTCTACAATTGATAAACAGGTTTATAATCAGTACCAGTCAATGAAATATATAACAAACTCCAGTTACACAGGCAAGAGGTCAGCTTTAGTTTACAGACCTAGGTTTTATTACCCATGTGCTTGACTACAACATCATGGGTCATTGTTAAAATTTTCTTTTGCATTTTCCTTTTTCTGATAGCTTTTACTTCACTATACGCCCTTCCCCAACTCCTATCCTTTCAGTAGGGTGGACTGATGCTGGCTTGTTTCCTGGAGCATAATACCATCTTTGGGGTTCTGTGGCAACAAAACCCCTTTCACTTGCCAGTGACAGAAACCCTGACTTATACTGACATCAAAAATGAAGGGAATTTATTGATTCAAATAACTTCCAGGGATGTTTGCAGTCAGGTGTGGCTGGATCCAGGGGCTCAAACATTAGATCTCTCCCCTTCCTCTCCCCTTTCCTCCATATGGGCCTTACTCTCAGAGTGACCTTTCCACAACACGGGCCCAGCACCTCCAGGCTACCTTTACTTCTAGATCCAGCCATCCAGGAGAGAGTGTTTCCCCTTCTCCATGTTCCCAGCACCCACCTGAGATTGAGCCTTGTTGGGCTGGATTGAGTCCAGAGCCAATCACTGGGTTGAAGGGAATGAAACCCAGTGACTGGCCAGGCTGGCATCTAGTGCCCACCCCCTGCACTCTGAGAGATGCATGAGGTCAGCCCTATCCAAACTGTGTGGATTCCCAGTTGGGCGGGACACAGCAGGGCAGCTGCAAAGGCAGAAACAGCAGATGCCCACTACCAAATCAGGGCACCGGGGGATGGCCCAGCCCAGGCAATCCCTGTATTTCCTTCAATGCCCCACCCATGTCTACCTCACCTGCCACCACCAGAGCACCGCCTTCTCACCTGCTCTAGGCACTCGGAGTCTGCACCACTCAGCCAGGTGCACACCTCTGTGTTGCCTTAGCGCTATCCTAATGTTTTCATCTGCTCTCGCCTCATTAGAGCGACAAGATTACAGACCCACTGGGAGCAGAGGATGTGACCATCCTTGTGTGCCCCTCTTCTACCCAATACACCCCTGGGGCCCTGGACGGCACTACAGTGAACCGAGCTTGGCACACAGATCATATCCAGGTCACTTATTAGCCCTGAGCTCTCTGAGCCTCAGTTTCCACATGGCTAGGGTGGGGCTATAAAAACATCTCTTTCATAGAAATGTAAAACAAAAGAGAGAATATGTGAGAAAATACTTCCCACTCTTCCAAGCTAAGCCCAGCCTGTTTTTCTCCAATTACATGATTGGGTATTTAATTACACCTGAGTTAAGAAATAAGCTTTCTCCTTCCTTGTTTCAGTGACAATACACTGTCCAGGCTACACCCTGCCTCTTCTGTTGTTTTTATTCTCTTTTGCTAGCTCCTCTTATTTTTTGCCTACCTTTTAAACAATGGGCATGAGAAAGGCAGTGAGTGTAGTGGCTTACAGCATTGGCTGGGGTCCTGAGTTGCCACCATTCTGAATGCAATTACATCACTTGATAGAGTATAACCTTAGATTGGTTAATTTCACCTCTTAGTGGCCCAGTTCTTCGTCTGTAAAGTAAGAAATCACAATAGTATTACCTCATGGGGCTGGATTGAAGGAGTTAATTTATGTAAAGCATTACAGCAGGACTTGATGGGGAGTAAGTACTATAAAAATGTTAATTATTATTCCTATTTTAATATTCCAAACATTATCCTTTAGCTCCAGGTCCAGTCAATTTTCCTCCTTAAAACATCTCAAATTCATTTTTTAAAACACTTCTTCATCCCTACTAATTTCTTAATTCAGTCCCTTATAATTTTAAGCATGGATTACTCCCACCTCCTCCTAATTGGCCTCCATTACCTGTGTTGCCTTCCAATCTATTCTCCACACAAAAATCTGATCTTATTTCTCCCCTGATTTAAATCTTTGAATGGCAGCCCATAATGATCAGAATATGAAGTCCACACTCTCGGGCATGAAGTATGAAGTGCTTCGTGATTTTCTCCTTGCTCATTTCATTAGCCCCTGTCTCTTCACTGCTCCCTTGTCTCGCCATCTTTCTCTCACCTCCTTGTCTGGTATTCTCTTACTTCCTCTTTTCTCCTGACTACTTCTTCAGCATCCATTGAGCTTCAGTTTAGGCACCTCACCTACTGCACCAGGGACTATCTATCTCAGTAGTTGTCACTTTGCATTAGTGTCTGTTGCCTCCACTAAACCTCTTGAAGGAAAGGACCTCATGTTTGAATGTCTAGCTCTTAGCACAGTTCTGGTGTCTTGTCTGGGCTCAGTGTTTTGTTGAATGAATTGATTAGTGATAACTACTTCTAAAGTTGTCAGGCCTCTTCTGGTTGCAAATGACAGAAACTGGCTTTAGGCATGGCTGGATCCAGATACTCAAACAACATCATCCGGACTGTGTCTCCCTCCATCTCTTCTTCTTTTTGTTTTGTTTCGAGATGGAATCTTGATCTGTCGCGCAGGCTGGAGTGCAGTGGCGTGATCTCAGCTCAGTGTAATCTCCGCCTCCTGGGTTCAAGCTATTCTCCTGCCTCAGCCTCCCAAGTAGTT
The DNA here is from genome assembly GCF_000001405.40 of Homo sapiens. NCBI lineage: Eukaryota > Metazoa > Chordata > Mammalia > Primates > Hominidae > Homo > Homo sapiens. The sequence goes on from NC_000014.9 coordinate 78,034,686, forward strand.
GGAGCTACAGGCATGTGCCACCATGCCTGGCTAATTTTTGTATTTTTAGTAGACAGGGGTTTCACCATGTTGGCTAGGCTGGTCTCGAACTTCTGACCTCAGGTGATTTACCCACCTCGGCCTCCCAAAGTGCTGGGATTACAGGCTTGAGCCACTGCGCCCGGCCCCCGACTTTTTTTTTGAGAGGGAGTCTCTCTCTGTTGCCCAGGCTGGAGTGCAATGGTGGAATCTGGGCTCACTGCAACCTCCGCCTCCCAGGTTCAAGCGATTCTCCTGCCTCAGCCTCCTGAGTAGCTGGGATTACAGGCGTGCACCACCACGCCTGGCTAATTTTTGTGTTTTTAGTAGAGATGGGGTTTCACCATGTTGGCCAAGCTGGTCTCGAACTCCTGACCTCATGATCCGTCCACCTTGGCCTCCCAAAGTGCTGGGATTACAGGCGTGAGCCACCGTGCCTGGCGTCTCCATCCATCTCTAGGCTCTGTTTTCCTCTGTCTTGGTTTAATTCTTAAGCTGGCTTCCTGAAAATGACCAGCAGCAGCTTCAGTCTACTCATGTAGCAACCCTAGTGGAAAGAGGGTATCTCTTTCTCAACATTTTCAGCTAGAGTCTCAGTACCACCTTCATTTGGCCAATTTACTTCCTGTGCTGGGGCATGAAACGTGGTGATTGGTCAGGCCTGGGTAACACTCCTATCCCTGGAGCTGGGATGGAATCATGCCCTCCTGAAACATGTGGACTGAATGGGGCAGGGATGTTCCCCAAAATAAAAATGGGGTGCTTTTGCCAGAAACATGAGAAATGGATTAGAGGGAAGCAAAAACAGCATTTGTACAGAAGTGCCAGGCACTTCTAGTTCTTCTATGAACATTTCAATTAATCTTCACAACAATCCAAAGAAAATCCACTCCACCAATGAGAAAACCGAGGCTTGGGGTGGTTGAGTGACTTGCCTGAGTTTACATAGCTCACAAGGACTGGAGCCAGATTGTCACCCTGGCAGTTTGATTTTAGAGTTTTCCTCCTGTAAAATGTTTTTAAAAAGAAATGCACACAGTAAAAATTCTGAACAGCATAAAAGGATGTACAGTGACAAAGTAGTTATACTTCAAGCGCTGGCTGTGAGCACCCCCTTTCACTCCTGCCCCCTAATCATCCGCTCCTGAAATCCTACTTTGAAGCTTCATTATGCTGATCCAGAATAGTCTTTAGTCTAGGGCTAGTGTACCCCCACTTCTGAGTATTCTACCCAATGCCCCGCGTATTATGAGGTCTTTCATCTCTGGCTGTTGGGAACACAACCTATTTCCAGCCCTATGTGATATCTGAAAATTGCTTGGCTTCCTGTTCTCCAGTGGTCCTTTCCCAGCTGCAGGTAGCTGCTTCTTACACATGTGCCAGTCAGCACCCAGGCCCAGACCATAGGGGACCCCTCTGCCAATCACTGGAGCGCTTCTGTATGCAGCTTTCTCTTCTCTGATTCTTGGCTCTGCAAATTTAGCTGCTTTGGCCACCCTGAACTGCAATCTCTGTCTTCTTAATTCAGGGAGACCACTGAGCTCTGCCTCAGTTCCTCCTCCCTGCATCGTGGCCTGGAAGCAAACTTCAGGCCGTAAGCTGAGGTTATTGTAGGACTCTCCTCTTTTGTTTCCCTTCTTTTACCTTCTCTTAGCAGTCCTGTACTGTCTGACGCTCAGTGTCTTAAAACTATTGTTTTATTTTGTCTGTTTTTTTTTTTTTAAGTTGTTTTGCAAGGCAAGGGGATAAATCTGTTCTCTATTATTCCATTGTGGCCAAAAATAGTATAAGTTTTACTAGTTTTTTTTTTTTTTTTAATCCTTCCAGAGATATTTTTATTTGGCGAATGGGCTCACTGCCCAATGTGCACAGAAGCTAATAACTATGGCACTGGCTTTTGAGAAAGGAAAGGCTTTATCACAAAACCAGTCAGCAAGGAGACAAGAGTGCGCTTAAATCTGTCTCCATCATTTGGGGTCTAAATTTTAAGGGATTAGAGGGAAAGAGAAAGGATTTAGGAATTATTTTATTTTATTTTATTTTTTGAGACGGAGTTTTTGCCCTTGTTCCCCAGGCTGGAGTGCAATGGCGCGATCTTGGCTCACTGCAACCTCCGCTTCCCAAGTTCAAGCAATTCTCCTGCCTCAGCCTCCCGAGTAGCTGGGATTACAGGTGCCCACCACCATGTCCGGTTAAGTTTTGTATTTTTAGTAGAGATGGGGTTTCACCATGTTGGCCAGGCTAGTCGCGAATTCCTGACCTCGTGATCCTGCCTTGGCCTCCCAAAGAGCTGGGGTTACAGGTGTGAGCCACCATGCCCAGCCAGGATTTAGGAATGTTAAATTGGCAGGGTCTGGTTGGAGGGCTTCAAATTTGACCATTTGTGGTAAGGGATGCTGAAGCAGATTTTAGCACCAGATCTTCCAGGCCAATGGACTCCTTGCTTCTGAAAGAGTTCTGGTGTTCAGGTTCTGGTCATGTCCCAGTTTCCTTGGTTCTGAGGGGAGGAATTGTTGATCTCAGATGTTTTTAGAGGCAAAGTCTTTTTCAGTTGCATGCACTTGCAGTTTCTGGCTCTGTTGTACCTAAAAGGTAACTGGACATTTTGTTAACAGAATAGGTCCAGTTTGGGCTGTTCCCATGGTTACAGTATTCTCTGCATAAACAAGCATATATATCTCCTGTTCTTTCTACAAATACCCTTTGCTACAGTACTGTTTTGCACCTAATTTTTGTCACTTATTATCTTAGAGATTGTTCCATATAGCTTGACCTCATTCTTTCAAAGGTAGAGCCTGCCCTCCTAACCCCTTATCAATTCTGCCTCAGGGAATGACAGCTTTGCTATTATTGGTTATAACTGATGCTTGGTAAATAGTTGACGAGTTGAATAAATTATGTTGAAACTGCACCCAGGTGGCTGGATTCGCATGTTCTGATGACTGGAGGAAACGGGTGCTCTGTTTTCAGTTTGGGGTCCTTTGTCTTCCAGGTGGTTCAGTCCCCTCCTTTCACTCTTCTTCAGGGGTTTTTCTCTCATCTTGGTCTGCGGTAGACTGAGGCATAGAAATAGTTAAGCCTCAGTTCTTTTCTCTTTTCTCCCATTTCATAAGAATTCAATTTACAGGACAAAATCCCATCCATTGTATTAAAAGAGGCACAACTGTATGAAGAATCACTAGAAGGCGATATGAAAATGTGCCTGGGTAGAGCCTGGTGTCCAGATGCCCAGCAAATGCATTTTGGATAAATTTGGGGTTCACTTGTGTCTTGTGTGATTATTACGTAGCCCCTTGTAATGAATTGAATTATATTTTTCCCCCAAATTCATATTTTGAAACCCTAACCTCCAATGTGACTGTATTTGGGGACAGGACCTTTGAAGAGGTGATTAAGATGATATGAGGGCTTAAGGGTGAGGCCCTAGCCCAATAGGACTGGTGTCCTTATAAGAAGAGGAAGGGGCACTAGGTGTGCTCACACACGGAGGAAAGGCCAGATGAGAACACAGCCAGAAGACGGCCCACAAGCCAGGGAGGGAGGCCCCAGGAGAAACCAAAACTGCTGACACCCTGATCTTGGGCTTCCAGCCTCCAGAACTGTGAGAAATAAATTTGTTATTTAAGTCACCCAGTCTGTAGTAGTTTATTACGGCAACCCTAGCAAACTAATATTCTACCCACCCTAAAAGGCCCAACCTTTTAATACCATTACAATGGGGATTAAGTTTTGTTTTGTTTTTTCTTTTTTGAGACAGGATCTCACTCTGTCACCCACGCTGGAGTGCAGAGGTTTGATCTCAGCTCACTGCAACCTCCACCTCCTGGGTTCAAGTGAACCTCCTGCCTCAGCCTCCTGAGTAGCTGGGAATACAGATGCACACCAACATGCCTGGCTTTTTTTTTTTTTTTTTTTTTTTTTTTTTGGTAGAGACAGGGTTTCACTATGTTGGCTAGGCTGCTCTCTAACTCTTGGCCTCAAGTCACCTGCCTGACTTGGCTTCCCAAAGTGCTGGGATTACAGGTGTGAACCACCCCACTTGGTCGGGAATTAAGTTTAACATGAGTTTCTGAGGGGACAAACATTCAAACTGTAGTACTTAGATAAGCTTGTTCTTCTTTTGCCTCAGTTTCCTCACTTATAAATACCCAGGGGATTGCTGGGTCATATAGTAAGTGAATATGTAACTATACAGGAAACTGCCAGGCTTTTCAAAAGTGCTATATGATTTTGCATTTGTTTTTTTCTTTTTGTGGAGAGTCTTGCTCTGTCACCCAGGCTGGGGTGCATTGGTGCGATCTTGGCTCACTGCAACCTCTGGGTTGCAGCCTGGGCTCAAGCGATTCTCCACCTCAGCCTCCTGAGTAGCTGGGATTACAGGTGTGTGTCACCATGCCTGGCTAATTTTTGTATTTTTAGTAGAGACGGGGTTTTGCCATATTTGCCAGGCTGGTCTTGAACTCCTGACCTCAAGTGATCCGCCTGCCTCGGCCTCCCAAAGTGCTGGGATTACAGGCATGAACGACCATGCCCAGCCCTGTTTTGCATTCCTACCAGCAAAGTATGAGATCTCCAGTTGCTCCCCATACTTGCCAACTCTTGGTACTGCTCTCTTTTTAATTTCAGCTATTCTAGTGGTGGTAGCAGTATCGTGTGGTTTTAATTTGCATTTTCCTAATGACAGTGATGTTGAGCATATTTTCATTTGCATATTTGCCATTTGTATTTCGTTTGTGAAGTGTCTATTCAAATCTTTTGCTTCTTTTTAATTGAGTTAATATCTTATTATTGAGCTACAAGAGTTCTTCGTATATACTAGATATAAGCCTTTTTACAGATGTATGTATTGCACATATACTTTTTCTGTTTATGGTTTGCCTTTTTAAAAAATTCTGTCTTTCAAAGAATAGGAGGATTTTATTTTGAGCTAGTCTGATTTATCAAAAATTTTTTTCTTCTAGAGTACATGTTTCTATATACTAAGAATTTTTGCCTTTACTAAGGTCACAAAATTTTTCTCTTATGTTTCCTTCTAGTTTTTAATTTAGCTTTTACATTTAGGCCTATGATCAATTTTAAGTAAATTTTCATTCATAGTGTGAAGCAAGTTTCAAGACGTATTTTTTGCTTGTGGATATTCAATTGTCCTAGCAACATTTGTTGAAGATCTTTTTCCATCGGATTACCTTGGCATTTTTGTCAAAAATCAATTGACCGTATCTGAGTGGATCTATTTCTGGACTTTCTATTCTGTTTCATTGATCTATATGTCTGCCCTATGTTAATAGCTCATTATCTTTATTATTGTAGCTTTATGGCAAATCTTAAAATAGTGTAGCTCTTACACTATTTTAGCATGTAGTGTAGGAGGTAGTCTGAATCCTCCAACTTCGTTCTCCTTTTTCAAAGTTGTTTTGGCTATTTTAAGTTCTGAGCATTTACATATAAATTTTATTATCACGCTGTCAATTTCTGATAAGGAAAAACCTGGTGGCATTATGATGCAGATTACATTGAATCCCAATAGTTTAGGAGGTACTGATACCCTAATACTGAGATTTCCAATCTGTAAACATATATGTCATCACTTATTTGGGTCTTTTTTTTTCGGTGGCTATTTTGTTGTTTTCAGTGTAGAGGTTTAGCATACAGTAGCTCCCCCTTATCCATGGTTTCACTTTCCAAGGTCTCAGTTACCCATGGTATAATAAAAGATATTTTGAGAGAGAGAGAGAGACCGACCACATTGATGTAACTTTAATTACAGTATCTTGTTATAGTTATCCTGTTTTATTATTAGTCATTGTTGCTAATCTCTTACTGTGCCTATTTTATAAATTTAACTTTATCATATGTATGTATGGAAAAAACATAGCGTCTATAGAGTTCAGTACTATCCACAGTTTCAGGCATCCCCTGGGGGTCTTCAACTATATCCCCTGTGGATAAGGAGGGACTACTGTATATTTTGTTAAGTTTATCCACAAGTGTTTCATATTTTTTGATGCTATTGTAAATGGTGTTTGTGGCAACCAGCCTCCAGATTGTCCCCCAGTGATCCTTCCCTCCTGGTATTCATACCCTTGTACAGTCCCTCCTATCCCCCACATGGTACCAGGGTTGGTCTGTGTGACCAGGAGAATATAGCAGAAGTGATAGAATGCTACTTCTGAGACTAGGTGGTACTAAAAGACATAAAAGACATCATGTCTTCTTTGCTCTTGTTTGAATTGCCTGTTCTAGAGGACACTGGGAGCAGCTCTATTGGAAGGTCTATGTGGAACTAGATTTTCCTCAACGAGGAAACTAGAACTTTCCTCAACGAGGAACTGAGGTCTCCATCAACACTGTGCAGGAGTCTTCTTGGAAGTGGATCCTCCAGCCCTGGTCAGGCCTTCAGATGTCAGCAGCCCTCGCTGACATCTGGACTACAACCTCAAGAGACCCTAAGCCAGGCCACCCAGTGAAGCTGCTCCCAGATTCCTGACTCTCAGAAGCTGTGTGAGATAAAAAATACAATGTTTATTGCTTTAAGCTGTCAAATTTTAAGGTAATTTATTATGCAATAATAAAGAACTAATACAGTATTGTAAAAAATTAATATCTTTTAAATTTTAATTTCTAATTCTTTGTTTCTGTCATGTAGAAATTATTAAAATATTGACCTCGATCCTGTGTTCTTTCTAAAATTGGCTGTTTTGCAGATTTTAAAGGATTTCTACATAAGCAATCGTGTCATCTGTGACAAAGATGGTTTTACTTCTTTTGATATCTAGATGCCTTTTGTTTATTTTGCTGCCTTATTAAAGTTGTCAAGACCTTCAGTATAATGTTGAATAAAAGTGGTGAGAGCAAATAGTCTTACCTTGTTCTTGATCTTAAGGGGAAAGCATCCAGTCTTTCCCCATAAGTATAATGTTAGCTGTAAGTTTGCCAGAGATATCCATTATCAGATTGAGGATTTTTTTTTCCCCTGTTCTTAGCTTACTGAGAACTTTTATTATGAACCATTTCCTAATATTTTTCTGAACCAATGGAGATAATCATATGGTCTTTTTTTTGGTTATGTTAATATGGTGAATTACATTGATTGACATTTGAATGTTAAGCCAGCCTTGCATTCCTAGGATATACCCCACTTGGTCATAATGTATGAATTGTCTTGGGAAATATTTGATGAATGCTTTTTTCTTTTCTATTATTTGGAACACATCTGCATTTCACTTATCTGTCAGAGCCCTGGAGACTTTACTCCCTATTAGCTGCTGCTTGGGATCACAGTGGTCCCATGGTGTCTGAAGTCTACATAAGTGAGCTTTGGTAACCCTCTGAGATCTTCAGGTGGGGTGCCCAGACTGAGACATGTGGGAATCTTGGTAGACTGGTGACAACATCTTGCCCTCCTTGAATCAGTATATTTGTTCAAATGAAATGTTCAACTTCAATTTGGGGGAGGAGCTGAAAACTGGGAGAGTGAGTAGAAGAGTGGGGAAGGAAGACTACTGGTGGAACGTCAGTTTCCCTGTCCTTTAACCAATTTAGCCCCTGCCTGAGATGAATGTCCTGAAGATAACTGGCCCCATTGTCCTTAGAAGGCAGCTTCTGTTGATACTCAAATATTCTTCCAGTGTAGAAGAAGAAAAACAGAAATTTAAACAAAAATTTAAGCAAAAAAGGGTTTTATGATGGCAGTTTTACAGAATCTTGGGCATATGGTGGAGAATCAGAAAATGTATAGGAACCAGAGAAGAGTTACCTTAGCATGTCACTGTGGATCCTGCCATCCCCGGACCTCACCATAACATGTTGGGGCCCTTGATTCTGCAGTGGCTGGTGCGTCATCTCTGACATCTTTGATTTGCTCCATGTCTTGACATCACTTTCTTCCATGATTCAGGGTCCTATGTAGAAGCATCCAATTGGCCAAGCCTGGGTCAGTCTCTCAGGCCGTTGAAGAATGGGAGAGGGAATATCTGCTCCTCAGATTTCTATAGTGAGATATGGGCCCCTCCTTAAAATAAGGAGAATAGTTAGATAGCGGCCTCCCTAATTTGACAAATATCCACTATGAAAGCACAGCCTTTAGGGGTCTTAGCCACATATCCAGGATCATTTTACAATATTCCTTCAACCCTTACTCTACATTTCCTGAGAAGAGTTTTGAGAAGAACATTTTCCCCTCCATCTCCTTGTTTCCAGTGACACACTAGCACCCTTGTGAGGTTTGGTGCACCTTTCCTTATGCGCTGGTGCTCCAGGCACCTGCCTGGCAGACTCACCCCTTAATCTGACTCTGAACTATCTTTTCATAGTGCCTGGAGCTCAGTAGGGGTTTGATCAATATTTTTTGAAAGACAAGTGTCCTCCTTGGGACTCCAGGCAGATGGATATGAGATAGTACAATAAATAGTTTTCACTAAAGAGTGATGAGGCTATGGGGAGTCTGTCTTCGGCCTGCCTGTGAGCTGGGGTGAGTATCCACATGCTCTGAGTAGGGAGACTGAGCTCTGGGACTCTAGAAGGGAAACTGTCAATGGATGAGATGATAGAAAAGAGCCTGGGTGTCTCCACTGAGTCCCAAACAGCTGCCAACTTCTCAAGGTTAATGAGTTGAAAAGGGCTAGAACCTCTGGGCTTTCTCCTGTGTGCAGTCTACTGTGGGTCTTGGAGTCTGTGAAATAGCTAGTGAGCTGACTAAAGAAATACAGTCTCTCTTCTGTTCTCTCCCCATTCCATTTTTTATTATCGTCCCTTATCTGCATCTCATCTAGTCTGGGACAATCAGATGACAAAAGAATTCTACTTTAAAACAAGTGCACTCAGGTATTTATAGTAAGGAAATGTGACTGAATGAGCTAGCTACTAAAAATAGAAGGTCTGACTTAATCCATTCAGGAAGATTGTGGCCCAATGTGTTTAGGGATAAATCAGTTTAGATCTAATATTTAGAAAACTTATCCCAGATTTGGATGGTTGACCTCTTGTGAAAAAATGCTCTAGAATTTTCCAGATTGGTAGCAATGCTGGGATGGGCTTTGCATGAAAAAACCTTGACTCTTAGCCTGGGCACCAGGAGATCTAAAGTGTGTTCCAATTTTACTAGACAAAAATTGGTCCAAATACTCTAAACTTTGCACCATATCAATTTCAGTAGGGCTTGCTGAGATCATAAGGGAGATTTGGGGCTCTGACTTACATTTGGGGAATACTATCTCTCTGTCAATTTTCTGTTTGATGCTCATTTAATTTTCCCACATGTGTATATTCCTTGAACGTCTAAACAAATGTACAACATTTATTGAGCATTATAGGTGCCATGCACATGCTAGGCCCTTCTCATGCTATTTATTTAAGCCTCACCATAACCGTGATACATGCTTTCAATTTTGCCATTATAGAAACTGAGTCTGAGCTAGGATTTTCCAAAGCCAAGTTACTTGTGAATATTAGATTGAGATCTGAACTCATATTTAGCGTTAGAGACAGACATCGAGTCTTGCCGTATTTCTGCAGACATTTTATTCTGGGCTGTGTACCTGCAGACCCTCAGTAAATGTTTATTTATGATGAAGGCTTTCTTGACTAATTCTCTCATCATTCCCTCCTCCTTTGAGCTCAAACAGCACAACTGTACTGTTCAACTTCATGTACATTTTATATCATCCATCGTATCAGTTAGGAATGTGTTAAGTTGCAAGGAAGAAAACCCCAACCAATGTTGTGGTTTAAAAAAAAGGATGCATAAAAACCAAATAGTCCAATTAAAAAATGGGCAAAGGGCCCGAATAGAAATTTTCTTCCAAATAAGACATACAAATGGCCATAGGTCTAGGAAAAGGTGCTCAGCATCACTAACCATCAGGGAAATACAAATGTAAACCATGATGAGATATCACCTCATCACTGTCAGGATGGCTATTATCAAAAAGACAAGAGATAAATATTGGGAAAAGTGTAGGGAAAAGAGAACCCTTGTATACTGTTGGTGTGAATGTAGATTGGTACAACCAATACAGAAATAGTATGGAAGTTCCTCCACAAATGAAAACTAGAACTACCATATGATCCAGAAGGCATATACATGAAGGAAAGGAAATTAGTACCTTGAAGAGACATCTGTACCTACATGTTCACTGAAGCACTATTCACAATATCCAGGATGTGGAAGCAATGTGTCTATCCATGGGTGAATGAATAAGGAAAATGTGATATATAAAATGGAATATTGGCCGGGCATGGTGCTCACACCTGTAATCCTAGCATTTTGGGAGGCTGAGGCAGGTGGATCACCTGAGGTCAGGAATTCAAGACCAGCTTGGCCAACATGACAAAACCCTGTCTCTACCGAAAAAAAAAAAAACAAAAACAAAAAATTAGCTGGGTGTGGTGGCGGGCACCTGTAATCCCAGGTAATTGGGAGGCTGAGGCAGGAGAATTGCTTGAACCCGGGAGGTGGAGGTTGCAGTGAGCTGAGATTGTGCCATTGCACTCCAGCCTGGGCAACAGAGCGAGATTCTGTCTCAAAAAAATAAAAATAAAAATAAAAAAATAAAAGGCCGGGCACGGTGGCTCATGCCTGTAATCCTTGTACTTTGGGAGATTGAGGCGGGCGATTGCCTGAGCTCAGGAGTTCAAGACCAGTCTGGGCAACATGGTGAAACCCAGTCTCTACTAAAAATACCAAAAATTAGCTGGGCATGGTGGCATGCGCCTGTAGTCCCAGCTACTCTGGAGGCCGAGGCAGGAGAATTGCTTGAACCTAGGAGGTGAAAGTTGCAGTGAGCCAAGACTGTGCCATTGCACTCCAGCATGGGCAACCAAGCAAGGCTCCGTTTTGAAAAAAAAAAAAAAAAAGGTATATTATTCATCCTTAAGAAAAGAATTCTGCCATTTGCAACAACATGGGTAAACCTGGAGGACATTATGCTAAGTGAAATAAGCCAGACCCAGAAAGAAATATTATACAATCTCACTTTTATATGTGGAATCTAAAATAGTTGAATTCATAGAAGCTGCAGAGATTAGAATGGAGGTTGCCAGGGGCTGGAAGGTGGGGGAAATGGGGAGATGCTGGTCAAAGGGAAAAAACTTGCAGTTATAAGAGGAAAATGTTCTGGGGACTTAATGTACAGGATGGGTGGTAATGAATTTGACTGTGCTAATCATTATACAGTATACACATAAATCATTACATCATATACCTTGAATATATTTAATCTTTATTTGACAAATAGTTTAAAAAATGGCTGCAAGTTCTTTGACACCCCTCCAATTGAGAGGTGGGGGTCCATGTCTCCTCCCCTTGAATCTGGGGACTCATTGGCCAACTGAGTACCACAGAAACAATACTACATGACTTCTGCATGAGTCTAGGTCATAAAACATCATGCAAATGACTTTTTTATGTCACCAAGTTTTAGAGTAGCTTGTTACACACCAAAAGTAACTGGAACGCCCAAGGAACAGTAGTTTACAGCAAAAGAGGTACATGAATGTATGTATTTAATATAGCTGGAGATCCAGAGGTGGGCTCTTGTTGGCATTAGTTCACTGTTGAACAGTGTCATCAGGGACCCAGGCTCTTTCCACATGCTCAGGTTGTCATCCTTCATACAATGGCTTCTGTCCTCATGCTTGTTGCTTCATAGTTTGGCATAATTGCTGTAGCTCCGGGCATTGTGTCTGCATGCAAGTTAGAAAAAAGGACGGCCAGAGCCAGCCTCATCTCTATGATTTTATTAGGAAAGCAAAAGCTTTCTCAGAACTTCCCAGATGTTCACTTGCATCTAATTGGCTGGAATTTTGTCATATGACCATCCTTAATGGGAAGGGAGGCTGAGAAAAATGAGTACTTACCTGGGCACATTGCTGTCCTAAACACAATCTGGGTTTGCTTAGCAAGGACACAGGAGAACATAAATATTATGTGGGGAAGACCAGTGTCTGGCACATACCTCAAATGTTTTACTTGTTTTCTGGTTGGCTCCACTAAATGGCCAGTCTTTGACAGAGACAAACCCTGTTACTTCTCTGGAATGCTCGTTAGCATCTAATATAGCACTGAGAATGTAATTCCTGTTTACTGTGTTCAATTGTTGAAAAAAAGGAGAAAAAAAGGAAGACGTTTTTCAGAGCAAAGGTCTTTACATTTTTTTCCTTGCATAGCTCTTGAAAAAATGTTGAAAGACAATGTACCCCCTTGCATATTTTAGACTTGATATCTACTTTTTAAATTGTAACTATGCATAGTTGAAAAGGATATAATATTTGGCATATTGTAAATACTGACATTTAAAAATGAACCTATTACATTGTTCTTTTATATGTTCCTAATGAAAGCCATATATATGTATAAAATAGTAATTTGATACTGCTACCTTCTATTTAAAAAGACACAAACAAGCTTTTCTTTAGTAGTTATAAATTTTCCCATCATTCCTTTTTTTTCCTTGAACTTGTATTTTCATTCCACTTTCCCTACCAAATTTTATCCTAATGTAATATATTTTATGCTTGAAAGTGTTTTATTGATTTCTGCATCATTCTTCTCTGCAACAAAAACGTGCATATAAATTGAAATAACATTTTAAAACATTTCATGTGACTAAAAGGCTCTGAGTATTGAAAAATTTCTTCTGGATTGAATTATGAAAATTATTACTACTACACAATTGAGAAAAACAACATAACTATATTATATATTTTGATATATAATTATTAGACACAAAAAGTAAAATTACATTGGAAATGCACCTGCTATGAGATGGGTAGGATTTTTAAAAATTGTTTCATGTGTCTGTGGGCAAATATTACTTATTGCTAGAATGAGACAAATGTTGGCATCAATTACAATTCTCTTTTTTGTTTGTTAAGACACAAGGGCTGAAAATGTTGCTCACATAAGTAGGTGGAAATGTTAGGAATATTGATACATTTGAATTATTTGAGCTGCTTTCAAGTCATATATTTAAAAGTCACAGTGATCTATCATCAAAAATTATCTTTAATCATCTATCAATTTACAGCTCAATTAGGGCTTCCTTCAGTTATGTAGGAACCGCTTGACTTGGAAAAGAACTTGTTACCCCATTGTTTGAGCTGTTCACTTGCAAATGGATTTGCTATCTAATCATTGTTCACAACCTCAGTATTTCCGTTTACTCTCTGTTAGAGCCCTGGACATTTATATTCCATGATGCATCGTATTAAGATTTGGGATAGCTGAGAACTGTGGCTTTCTTCTGTTACGTGGGAGAAGGGCTCCTGTGGAAAGAGAAGGCAGGGAAAGAGAATTTGCTTCATGTCCCCTTTGCAGGCAGATCAGTTTCAGGAGAACCTGTAGGAAAACTGAGGATCTGGAAACTGAGCTTCACAAATCTGTTCATGCCCCCAAACCAAGTCTGCTTGTACCCACTAGGGTATGAGTACCCCATTTAGACTGCTGTTCCAGAGGACGTTGAACTCATAGAGATGTTAACACTTTTGCAGAGGATGGATTTGCTTGAGTTTCCCTTCTGGTATAGTGGCTTTCACTTAATGTGCTGTTCTGTGCTAAGTGCCTAACAGATAAGGTCTTCTTGAGTCCTTAGAACAACCTTAAGAGGGAGGAATCATTATCTCTATTTTGCAGATGCAGGGGCTAAGGGAAGTGGCAGCCAGCAAGTGTGAAAGCTGGGGTTCAAACCCAGGGCTGTGAGAATTGCAGAGCCTGAGCTCTTCAGCCATTGTATTAAATTGTACCTTTCTTTAGGTACTGTGAGCATGGCTCTTCATACCAGGTGTTGCCTGGACTGTTGCTGCTGTTGCTGCTGCTGGTGGTTTTCTGTCTCTTTCTTGGTGAGTTTCTCTAAAGCGGCAGTTCTCAAACTGTGGTGTGCATCAGGATCAGCTGGAGGCTTTAAGACACAGATGGCTGGGCTGCGCGTCCAGAGTTTCTGATTCAGTAGGTCTGATGCAAATGCTGAGAATCTGCATTTCCAACTCCCCAGGTTTGGGAACCACACTTTGAGAAACACTTCTCTAAAGAATGTCCAGCCTCATGGGAGAGATTCCCTTTTCTAATGCATTTGGGGACTTTTTATATATATATATATATTTTTTATTATTATTATACTTTAAGTTCTAGGGTACATGTGTACAACGTGCAGGTTTGTTACATATGTATACATGTGCCATGTTGGTGTGCTGCACCCATTAACTCATCATTTACATTAGGTATATCTCTAATGGCAACAAAAGCCAAAATTGACAAATGGGATCTAATTAAAGAGCTTCTGCACAGCAAGAGAAACTACCATCAGAGTGAACAGGCAACCTACAGAATGGGAGAAAATTTTTGTAATCTACTCATCTGACAAAGGGCTAATATCCAAAATCTACAAAGAACTCAAACAAATTTACAAGAAAAAAACAACCCCATCAAAAAGTGGGTGAAGGATATGAACAGACTTTTTTTAAAAAAATTTCTTTTAGGGCTGAGATTTTCACCTGCCTAGAAATGAGTATGTATACATATGCACGTTACATGTATATTTCAACATCTGAAACAACTTTGGAAAAAACTCATGCTACAGGAGTTTTTGCTGGAGATTTTTTGAGTGATTTTGTTCATGGGCATGCCTGCATTAGGGGGAAATTGTGCTGACATATTTTTATTCATTTATACTTTGTTATATATTTTATATATATTTTATTCATTTATACTTTGTTCATGAAGGTCCTCTTTGTCTTTGCCAAGTTATTCCCTCTATTTGGATGGAATGTCCTTTTCCCCATGCTTCACCCATTGGTTTATTCTTCAAGACTCTTTTCAAGGTAATATCTCCTCTGTGAAGTTTCCTGGCGGAGTTAAGTCTCTTTCCAGAACTCCTCCATTCTGCATAGCATTCTACAGGTGTGATTGGCTTACACATTCTCTCTCCCATTGGTTGAGTTCAGTGCTAGTAAACACTAAATAAATAATAACACTTTGCTGACATTAAGTGGGTGTTTACTATATGCTAGGCATTTGCTAAACACCTTACATATACTATTTCATTAAATGCCTACATCTACCTTATGAGGTAGATATTGTTGTCATCCCTCTTTCACGGTGGAGGAAACCAAGGCACAGAAGGGTAACTGCCAAGGGCACATAAATGTTGAGGGGCATTTCCTTGTTGCAGTCCCTGAGGTCCAGGACTGAACCTCAGGCTTACAGCTTCCAAGTACTGATCTATCAGCCCATGAAGCTAATTGACACTGAGGTATATAATTCCTATCAAGAGAATGCTAGTCCATCAATTGGTATAGGGAGAAATGCCAAAGGGAATGGCCATTCTGGGCAGTGTGTTCTCTCTCCTACGGCAGGTTTCTTAGAAGCCAAACCATAGCCTCCATTTGACCATTCAGTACAAGTTCACACCAGGGAGTTAGTAATATGTGTCCAATCTGTGGTGGTCTTGGGTTTAGACGATCTACTTCTGTGACAAGGATATTGCTGGGAGCCATAGGGCAAATCCTTGGGCATGACAGCTTCATGGAGAAGACCAGGGACTCTGCAGCTAGCCTGGGCAGTTTCACATTTCGGCTCTGCCACTTACCAGCTGTGTGACCTGTAAGTTACTCAGTTGCATAGTACCTGTTTCCTCATCTGAACAAAGATGTTGATGATAACGAAGCCTATCTCATAGGCTTGTTGTAAGGGCTAAATTCTTTAGCATAAGTAAAGAACTTAGGAGAGTGTCCAGATATAACCAGAACTGTGCAAATACTATTCATTATTGTGACTCTTTCTTAAAATTATTTTTATTTTTATTTTATTTTAAGTTCTCGAATACATGTGCAGAATGTGGAGGTTTGTTACATATGTATACATGTGCCATGGTGGTTTGTATACATGTGCCATGGTGGTTTGGAGTACCCATCAACCCGTTATCTAGGTTTTAAGCCCTCCCTGCATTAGGTATTTGTCCTAATGCTCTCCCTCCTCTTGACCCCCACCCTACAACAGGCCCCAGTGTGTGATGTTCCGCTCTCTGTGTCCATGTGTTCTCATTGTTCAACTCCCACTTGTAAGTGAGAACATGGGGTGTTTGATTTTATGTTCCTGTGTTAGTTTGCTGAGAATGATGGCTTCCAGCTCCATCCATGTCCCTGCAAAGGACATGAACTCATTCTTTTTTATGGCTGCATAGTATTCCATGGTGTATATGTGCCACATTTTCTTTATCCAATCTATCACTGATGGGCGTTTGGGTTGGTTCCAAGTCTTTGCTATTTAAATAGTGCTTCAATAAACATATGTGTGCATGTGTCTTTGTAGTAGAATGATTTATAATCCTTTGGATATATACCCAGTAATGGGATTGCTGGGTCAGATGGTATTTCTGGTTCTAGATCCTTGAGGAATCGCCACACTGTCCTCCACAATGGTTGAGCTAATTTACACCCTGACCAACAGTGTAAAAGTGTTCCTATTTCTTCATAGCCTCGCCAGCATCTGTTGTTTCCTGACTTTTTAATGATTGCCATTCTAACTGGCATGAGATGGTATCTCATTGTGGTTTTGATTTGCATTTCTCTAATGACCAGTGATGATGAGTTTGTTTTCATATGTTTGTTGGCCACATAAATGTCTTCTTTTGAGAAGTGTCTGTTCATATTCTTTGCCCACTTTTTGACGGGGTTATTTGTTTTCTTCTTGTAAATTTGTTTAAGTTCCTTATAGATTCTGGATATTAGCCCTTTGTCAGATGGATAGATTGCAAAAATTTTCTCCCATTCTGTAGGTTGCCTGTTCACTCTGATGATAGTTTCTTTTGTTGTGCAGAAGCTCTTTAGTTTAATTAGATCCCATTTGTCAGTTTTGGCTTTTGTTGCAATTGCTTTCAGTGTTTTAGTCAGGAAGTCCTTTCCCATACTTATGTCCTGAATGATATTGCCTAGGTTTTATTCTAGGGTTTTTATGGTCTTAGGTTTTACATTTAAGTCTTTAATCCATCTTGAGTTAATTTTTGTGTAAGGTTAAGGAAGGTGTCCAGTTTCTGTTTTCTGCATATGGCTAGCCAGTTTTCCCAGAATCATTTATTAAATAGTGGAATCCTTTCCCCATTGCTTGTTTTTGCCAGGTTTGTTGAAAATCATATAGTTGTAGATGTGTGGTGTTATTTCTGAGGTCTCTGTTCTGTTCCATTTGTCTATATATCTGTTTTGGTACCAGTACCATGCTGTTTTGTTTACTGTAGCCTTGTAGTATAATTTGAAGTCAGGTAGTGTGATGCCTCCAACTTTGTTGCTTTTGCTTAGGATTGTCTTGGCTATACAGGCTCTTTTTTGGTTCCATATGAAGTTTAAAGTAGTTTTTTCTAATTCTGTGAAGAAAGTCAATGGTAGTTTGATGAGAATAGCATTGAGTCTGTAAACTGCTTTGGGCAGTATGGCCATTTTCAGGATACTGATTCTTCCTATCCATGAGCACAAAATATTTTTCCATTTGTTTGTGTCCTCTCTTATTTCCTTGAGCAGCGGTTTGTAGTTCTCCTTGAAGAGATCCTTCACATCCCTTGTAAGTTGTATTCCTAGGTATTTTATTCTCTTTGTAGCAATTGTGAAGCAGTCTCTGTGGCACAACTGGTTAGTGTGTTCCCTATTGTGACTCTTAGCATTGTATCCCCAGTGTCCAGCAGAGGCCTACCACTGAGTAGGTACTCAATACATATTTCTGAATGAATGAATGAATGAATGAATGATTTATTTGACTAGAAATTTGTAAGAGTTTACCAAAGTTTACTTGAGAACAGTGGCTTTTAATTTCTTTTTGACAATAATCTGCAGTAAATGAATGCATTTTATTATTATTTTCCCTAGAGCTGACATATTTTTAAAAATATTATTTATCTTTTTTCTTTTTTTAACAAATATTTTAAATTAAGACCTAGTATACACATAGACACAGAGACACTTCATGAAACAATACTCACCATTATTACATGTGATGCAGTCTTCTACTTTCTTTTCTTTTTTTTTTTGAGAATGAGTCTCGCTCTGTTGCCTAGACTG
The DNA here is from genome assembly GCF_000001405.40 of Homo sapiens. NCBI lineage: Eukaryota > Metazoa > Chordata > Mammalia > Primates > Hominidae > Homo > Homo sapiens. The sequence continues at coordinate 78,052,743 of NC_000014.9, forward strand.
GAGTGCAGTGACAGGATCTCAGATCACTGGAATCTCTGCCTCTGGGTTGAAGTGATTCTTCTGCCTCAGCCTCTCAAGTAGCTGGGATTACAGGGGCATGCCACCATGCCTGGCTAATTTTTGTATTTTTAGTAGAGACGGGATTTCACCATGTTGGCCAGGCTGGTCTCGAACTCCTTACCTCAAGTGATCCACCTGCCTCAGCCTTCCAAAGTGCTGGGATTACAGGTGTAAGCCACTGCACCCCGCCTAGTCTTCTATTTTCTATTCTATGCTATTTTGGTTTTTAAAAAGGCTTTTAACCTGCTAGTTGATTTTACTACCTATTAGGGAGTCAGGATCTATGGATATGTTAATATTAGCAGGAAGACTTTGCATATTTTTGCTTCAACTTTCTTTTTTTCTTTTTTTAAGAGATGGGTTCTCATTACGTTGCCCAGGCTGGACTCTTGGACTCAAGCAATCCTGCCACTCCAGTCTTCCAAGTAGCTGGGACCACAGGCATGTGAACCATGCCTGGCTTTAAAGGACCTTAAAAGACAAACCATTCCTCTCATCTTTGTGTTCTTGGGCCCCATGTCCAGGTCAATAGAGACTGTTTCTCATTTCTCCCATGTTGCACATCTCATGGCCTGGGCTGGCCCTGAGGTCTGTACATCTTTCCAGGGCCCATGAATAGGACTCTTCCATGAAGCTCTGATTTTCCAGGACAGGATAGACTAGAGCTGTGGCCTGAAAGTAACTGCGTCAAAGGCTTCGTCCCTATTTGGCAAAGTTTGGACTTGTCTAAAGAAGTGCCATCTTCTCTTTAAGACCTCTTGGTCTTCATTTGAACACTTTTGCCTAACAATGTCCAGCACCTGGTGTGGAGATGGTCTTGGTCTTTCCCTGCCCCTCGGGCCACCCAGCTTTAATTTGCCACCACTTCTCCTCCTGCTGTGGGCTGCTGGCTCCTGGGCTCCAGTTCTGTGCAAGGAAAGCCTTTGGCTGTATTTAGCCTGGATTCCTGAGTTTTCTATGACTGGCAAGGGTGAGGAGGAAAATGCGTTCTGGGGCTGGAGAATGGTGATGGGGCAGGATGGGCTTTGGTTGTAGAGGAAAAGGCTGAGTGGAGTGTGTCCTGATGTGTGTTTAGATCTGTATAGGCCCTGGGCAAAGGGGTGCTCTAAAACCAGAAAAGCATGAGTTCCATTAGCCACCCGGTGTTGTGCTTCCCTTTCTCTGGTGCATGTCAAGGACAGAATGTTTAGAAATTTCCTATAGCCACCAGCTTGGTTCTTTTCAAGGCTTGCATATAAATGTCACATGTGATCTTAGTTCAAGTCAAAAGAGAGAAAGGGAAAAGCCTGTAGGGCCAGGTGAAGCTTGCTTTGTTCCGGGTAACTCTTTTTGCTTTTTTTTTTGAGACAGAGTCTCGCTCTGTCGCCCAGGCTGGAGTGCAGTGGCGCAGTCTCGGCTCACTGCAACCTCCGCCTCCTAGGTTCACGCCATTCTCCTGCCTCAGCCGCCCAAGTAGCTGGGACTACAGGTGCCTGCCACCACTCCCGGCTAATTTTTTGTATTTTTAGTAGAGATGGGGTTTCACCGTGTTAGCCAGGATGGTCTCGATCTCCTGACCTCGTGATCCACCTGCCTCGGCCTCCCAAAGTGCTGGGATTACAGGCATGAGCCACCGCGCCCGGCCTGTTCCAGGTAACTCTTAATGGGACAGTAATAATACTATTAACTCCCTCTGCTATTTATTCAGCATCTCTACGCTTTGACACTGTAGATTCTGCTTGCTGGCTCAAACTGGTGGCCTCTGCTCCATTGCTCCTGGTCCCACAGCCTCTATTCATCTTTGTTGTTTAAACATTTTAAACTCTATTTCATGGTTTCTTAGAAATGCCAAAGCCAACCTTCTTGAACCATGGCCATTTAGGGCTCTTGTTTTTTCTGCCTTAAGAAGGTGAATACCTCCACCTGCCTTCCTGCACACCTTTTGTCCCTTTGTTCTCCATCTCTTTTAAAAAATGTTAGCGTGTCAGCATATCCCTCATAGACTCAGTAATGCAGACTCCTGTGATTTGCTGCTTTGACATGTGCTCACCTATTCCAAGTGTTCCTTAGCCTATTTGTTGTCAGTAGTTATTTTTGCAGTCTTCATTACTTCCTATTTGTCTGAAAGGTATTTCTTAGTCCCTTCCTTTCCCCTTCTCTTTTTCTGTACTTTCCCTATTATAGCTGTAGGTCACAGACATTTGGATTTCATGGAGTAAAAGTTAAAAAAGAAGGCTGAGTGCAGTGGCTCACACCTGTAATCCCAGCACTTTGGGAGGCTGAGGTGGGTGGATCACTTGAGGCCAGGAGTTCAAGACCAGCCTGGGCAAAATAGTGAGAACCCTGTCTCTGAAAAAAAAAAAAAAAAAAAAAAGATTAGGCAGGCATGGTGGTATGTGCCTGTAGTCTCAGCTACCAGCTTCTTAGGGTGTTGAGGTCGAGGATCACTTGAGCCCAGAGTTCGAGGCTGCAGTGAGCCATGATTGCACCACTGCACTCCAGTTTGGGCAACAGAGTAAGACCCTGTCTCAAAAAAAAAGACAACTACCACCTACGTTTACCATCATTTCATAAAAGAAGTTGCTCAATGTGGTCCTAGAAGGATGTCAGTTGCCCTTGTGGAGATGTGCTTTCATTGAAGCTTTTTGGTTCTTTTGATGTGATCCAGGTCTGCCTCTTCTGATCCCAGTTCAGTGCAATCTCTTGGCACCTACTGCACGCTCAGCACTGTAGTGGACACAAAAGAAGAACTGGACTTTTGTCAAAAGACTTTTGCCTTTACCCTCAGGGACACATGTGTTTCCTGAGAGAGGACACAAGACAAACAGCTGTGCAAGACTGCAACTTTTGGGTATACCTTCCTATGAGACTGTGAACTTTTTTTTTTTTTTTGAGATGGTGTTTTGCTCTTGTTTCCCAGGCTGGAGTGCAATGGCATGATCTCAGCTCACTGCAGCCTCTGCCTCCTGGATTCAAGCGAGTCTCCTGCCTCAGCCTCCCGAGTAGCTGGGATTACAGATATGCGCCACCATGCTCAGCTTATTATTATTATTATTATTTTTATTTGTATTTAGTAGAGATGGTGTTTCACCATGTTAGGCTGGTCTCGAACTCCTGACCTCAGGTGATCCACCCACCTTGGCCTCCCAAAGTGCTGGGATTATGCCAAAGACTGTGAACTTCTTCTTCTTCTTCTTCTTCTTTTTTTTTTTTGAGACAGAGTCTCCCTCTGTCGCCCAGGCTGGAGTGCAATGGTGCGATCTGGGCTCACTGCAAGCTCCGCCTCCCAGGTTCACACCATTCTCTTGCCTCAGCCTCCCGAGTAGCTGGGTCTACAGGCGCCCGCCACCAGGCCCGGCTAATTTTTGGTATTTTTAGAAGAGACAGGGTTTCACTGTGTTAGCCAGGATGGTCTTGATTTCCTGACCTCATGATCCACCTGCCTTGGCCTTCCAAAGTGCTGGGATTGCAGGCATGAGCCACCGCACCCGGCTGACTGTGAACTTCTTAAGGGAAAGGATCGTATCCTATATGTGTCTACATGTGGTGCTGCACCAGCACGGTGTCTGATATATCATACATGTTCTATTGATGTTTGCTCACTGAAAATGAATTACAGGACATGATGAGGTTTGGATCTATACCCCCGCCCAAATCTTGTGTTGAACTGTAATCCCCAGTGTTGGAGGTGGGGCCTGGTGGGGGGGGACTGGGTCACGGGAGTGGGGTTCTCATACATGGTTTAGCACCATGCTCTCTTGGTACCGTATAGTGAGTGAGTTTTCACAAGATCTGGTTGCTTAAAAGCATGTAGCATCCCCACCCACCCACCCCGCTCCCACCATGTGAAAGCCTTGTTCCCCCTTTTCCTTCCACCATGGTGGTGAGTTTCCTGAGGCTTCCCCAGAAACGAAGCAGATGGTCAACATCATGCCTCCTATACAGCCTGTGGAACCATGAGTCAATTAAACTTCTTTTCTTTATAAATTACCCAGTCTGGCTGGGCATGGTGGCTCACGCCTGTAATCCTAGCACTTTGGGAGGCTGAGGCGGGCGGATCACTTGAGGTCAGGAGTTCAAGACCAGCCAGACCAACGTGGCAAAACCCCATCTCTACTAAAAGTACAAAAAATTAGCCAGGCATGGTGGTGGACACCTGTAATCCCAGGTACTTGGGAGGCTGAGGCAGGAGAATTGCTTGAATCTGGGAGGCGGAGGTTGCAGTGAGCTGAGATTGTGCCACTGCACTCCAGCCTGGGCAACAGAACCAGACTCTGTCTCCCAGTAAATAAATAAATAAATAAATAAATAAATAAATAAATAACCAACCCAGTTTCAGGGATTTCTTTCTAGCAGTGTGAGAATGAACTAATATAGGACAGTACAAGATAAAAGACATATAGCTGCTTAACTGAAGTCAATCATGTATCAATAATGGATAATACAGTACAACGAAAGGTAGGATAGAGTGGGAAGAGGAGGGATCATCACTGACTTAAGCTGGCAGGAAGACTTAACGGAAGCAGGTGGTGAGATTTGAGGTGGGCTCTCAGGAATGAGTAGAATTTGGCATGAACTGGCAGTAACTAGTGGGTTCCTACTGAAAAGCGCCTGGGGACCAGGTAATAATATTCAGGAATGGCTATGTCTTTGTTTTGCAAGCTAATCTTTCTGATTTGGAGATTATGGGATGATGACAGACACCAAATAACCATTTAGGCAGTGGTTTGAAATTGGGAGAGGACATTTGGCAATGTCTGGAGACATTTTTAGTTGTTACACCTGGGGCAAGGGTGCTACTGGCAAATAATAGTGGCATATGGGAGGGGCTAGGCATGCTGCTAAACATTTTACAATGCAGAGGACAGCCGCTGCCTCACCCCCAAACAAAGAATGGACTGGCTCAAAATGTCAGTGGTGCCATAGTTTAGAAATCCTGATTTAGGGAGATTGATAAGAAAAAGGAAATAATTCCGGGCGCCGTGGCTCATGCCTGTAATCCCAGCACTTTTGGAGGCCGAGACGGTTGGATCATCTGAGGTTAGGAGTTCGAGACCAGCCTGGCCAACATGGTGAAACCTCATCTCTACTAAAAATACAAAAATTAGCTGGGTATAATGGCACGTGCCTATAGTCCTAGCTACTTGGGAGACTGAAGCGGGAGAATCGCTTGAACCTGGGAGGCGGAGGTTGCAGTGAGCCGAGATTGCGCCATTGCACTCCAGCCTGGGCAACAGAGTGAGACTCTGTCTCAAAGAAAAAGGAAATGAATATGGTGTTATCAGTAGCATTTCATGATCACAAATAGTGCCTGGAAGCCAAGGCTGCAATGATAGGATAACATTGCCCCTCTCCTTCTTTCCAAGGAACTTTTCCAATCATCTTCTTATTGCTCTCCTCCTCCTTCTCTTCCTCCTCCTCCTCTTCTTATTTTCTTATATTGCCATGTGCCTTTCTCCTTCCTTATCACCTCCTCTTTCACTTAATACCTCCTCCAGTACTTTTATTCATTGGCCTCCTGCAAGTCAAGGCCTCAGAGCTACCCAAAGAACTCTGGGAGGTCGTTTGGGTAAAGCATTTGGAGCTGAACCCAGAGGTCTTGGCCCAAGGCATATCTTTACCTTTATGCCATCTAGACTTAAACTCCTGTTAAATCTCATGGATTATGAATCTATTCAGAGGGATACTTTTGGCTTTGTCAGTTCTAACATGTCAAGTACAAGTTAAGCTTATTTTTACAAGGGCATCATAATTGCATTTGTTTACCTTATGGTTGACGGCAGGGTATAGAGGTGAGTTTTCCAAAATACAGTTCCTGTAACATTAGTTCACTATATCTGAATAAGTATTCTCTGAAATAAAGGGTTCAGAAAAAATATTTAGGTGGGCATTTGTAACATATTTTAAATTGTAAATAGATTTTTTATTGCAAGACTTCTTAGAGCCATATGGACATTTTGAATTTCCTAGACAAAGAAGTACTATACTAAATTCTCAAACTTAATTGACCATGGGACACATTTTGCAGAACACGTACCAATAACTTCATTTGGGAAACGTTATTCCACTGTAACTGGAAAAGTATGGATTCTGGAGCTCTGTCATCCTGACTTGAAATTTCTACCTCTACCATTGAGTAACTTGTTTCTTTGGGCAAGGTATTTAACTTTTTGAAGCCTGAGTTTCCTCATCGGGAAAACATAACCATAGGCAAATAATACATCCCTCACAAAGTATTGGGGGTTACCTCCTAACCTCATGCTTCCATTGTTTCAGTCACATTGTTGTGCAATTTGTTGTTGACATGAAAGTCTTTCCGACCAAACTGAAATCATCCAGGACCTGGGTGGTATCTTATGATTTTTGTATCCTCAGTTCTTCCCCCAATTCCTGGCACTCGATGGCACTCCATAACAGCTTATTGAATTAGTCAATGGATAACATATGTAATGCACCTCGTGCAGTTCTCGTCTGGCTCCTTCCTTTATCCCTTCTCATTGGGTAAAAACTTATTGGAAGAAGTATGAAGGAGGCGGACATGAAGTGCTGGTGACATTGACCCTGATGATTTGGTTGGCTAAAGGCTGCATTCAGACCCATGCTTGATGTATGTGACCATTAGCCAGTGTGCACGTGAGGCTCACTTAGGGATAGTGTGTTTATTTATTTGTAACTGCATGCCACAGAGTTACTACATTGGTTAGCTGTCATTTGCAGTATTCAATTTTGGGCATCAACTGTTAGGAGGGAGAAGATACTGGTTCCTTTAACATCCCTAACTCTGGTCTCTTCTTCTTCTTCCTTTTTTTTTTTTTTCTCCTCCTGGAATTTTTCCTTCTTATTTTGCTTTTTTAAAGGTTATTTTATTCAGGCATAGGCATAAGACATTAAAAAAGATAAGGGATATGGTGTGAGGGAGGGAGGAAATCAAATAATTAATCCAAAAAAATCTGTAGAAATTAAAAATCAGAGCTTGGGGGCAAGGTGGGAGGCCACACATTCTTTCCACAGAGCCATTACCCATTGCCCAACTGTCTTCAGAAGCAAGAATAAAACAACAACAACAACAAAAAAACCCAACAGACCTCAGCTGTGTAATGAAGCTGGGGTCTTGGTCTGTTAGCTTTTAATATCTTTAAAACTGGGCTGGGCATCAAGTGTCTTTTCTGGAATAGGCCAAGGAAGACAAGTCCAGTTTGGTTTTCAAGACTTCAGTGAGCTCTGTGGCCAGCAGCTCATGGAGGGACACGCTGTCATGGGAGTACATGCAGTTTTTCCCAGTCCCATCATAATTCTTGGGCCCACTGGATGGAGAAGATAACCAGATTTGCTTGTTTGGTGCCTGCCTGTTGATCAAATAGGTTCCTAGATCTCCACCCAGTTTAATAGTTAAGACACCACTCCCAAAGGAAACATCATAGTCCTCAAATGCATATGGCTCATCTGCAAGGTCTTCAAAAATTTCTGCTAAGGAGTCCAGCGTTTCCTCCGCTAGTCAGTTTCTTCTTAAAAATACTTGGGGGAGGGTAAGGGAGACATTCACAAGCTGATGAGGGTCCTCCTGGGAGGGTTCTGGAGCATCTGGATGTCCCAAATTATGATGAATGGTGAAGGAAATAGTGATGTGTACTCTCAGGAGCAAACCGGGGCACATGTTAACTTTCTTCTTATGAGCAGAATCTTCTAAAAAAGAGGGCTATAGACTGGTGTGAGCAAACCTGGGTGTCAGTGTCTGTATGACCATAGGTGAGTTTCCTGTTCCCTGGGCCCATGTTTCCTGTTCTAAAATGAAGGTTTGGGAGTGGAAGATGTTTGCAGGTCTTCTGTGGTTTGATGAGACATGAAATTGAAATATTTGGGGGCTGTGCTGGAGAGAAGTGTAGACTCCAGACTTTTTCTGTGGATTTTGGAGAGCAGAACTCAGACCATGGGTGGGAAGAGAAGGGGCCGGTGGCTGTTCAGTGTAAAAAAGTCATTTCAGAGGGAGGGAGAATGTGGACAATCCTGTTGTCACAAGTATAACCAGAGTTGCTGGCCAGGGCTGTTCTTCAGGTGACCCATAAGATCCTTGCCTTTAATTTAAAAAATGTTTTATTTTAGGATAGTATTAGATTTACAGAAAAATTGTGAAGATAATACAGAATTCTCATATACTCTAGGATGTGGTCTGAATCTTGGTGACCCACACCCCCAGCCCTGCCTTCAAATTCGTTTGTTGAAATCTTACCCCTGCAAGGTGATGGTATTAGGAAGTGGGGCCTTTTAGGAGGTGATTAGCTTCTGAGGGCAGAGCCCTTATGGTTGGGATTAGTGCCCCTATAAAATAGGCCTGAGGGAGCTCATTCTCCCCTTCCACCAAGAGAAGACACAGCAAGACTGCACCATCTATTAACTGGGAAATGGATCCTCACCAGATGCCAAATCTGCCAGCACCTTGATCTTGAACTTCTTGCTTTTCTAATTGTGGAAATAAATTTCCTTTGTTTATAAGGTACTAGTCTATGATATTTAGTTATCACAGCCTGAATGGATTAAGACCTAAATACGATTTCCAGTAGTGTTAACATTTTACATTAGTAAGGTACATTTGTTATAATTGATGAGCCAACATTGATACATTATTATTAACTAAAGTCCATTCTTTATTCACATTTCCTTATCCCTTCCTATCTTTTTTCTGTTCCAGAACCCATCCAGGATATCACATTACATTTAGGCTCCTCTTGGCTGTGAACATTTCTTAGACTTTCCTTGCTTTTGATGACTTTGACAATTTTAAAGAATACTAGCGTATTCTTCAGTGCAATACAGTGTAGTTGCTGACCAGTAGCTGCTGGACACTTGTAGAATGACCCTCAATTAGAGTTTGTCTGAGGTGTCATATGATTAGATTGGAGTTGTGTGTTTTGGAAAAGTAAATCACAGAGGTGAAATGCCCTTCTCATCACATCATTTCAAGGGTGCATGCCATCAACATGTCTTATCACTGCCGTTGAGCTTGATCACCTAGCTGGGATAGTGTTTGTCGGGGTTCTCCACTGTAAAGCTATCCCCCCAGCCCTTCCATCTTTCTGTACTGGACTTTTTAGAAGGAAGTCTCTATATGCATGCAGCCCACGCTTAATGAGTAGGAAGTTATGCTCTACTTCCTTGAGAGGAGTTCTCCGTTTTAAATGAAAAAAATTTTATTTTGCCTTTTGCCTGCCCTCCAAGTCTCATGCAGAGCCTCAGGCACAGTGAGTGAGCCCATTCTCATTTCTTTGTCAGCGCTGGACAGCTAATCAAGATCCAGGGATTTACTTAAGCTAACAGATGATTATTCTTCCCTGTAGAAGAGTTACCAGAATGCTGAATTTGCTAATTACTCTTCTCTTTGCTTCTCCCAAACAGGGATTTGGAGAGAGATGAGACAAAGTTACGTTAAATGAGGACCGTGATTGAGGAACCTGGGAGCCTGAGGAAGAGGGAGGAGCAGCCCCTTACCAAAAATGGGGTGGGGGCTGATGAAGAACTGAAGTGGCCAGAAAGGAAGTGATGCCGGTAAGAGGGAATTAATGAGGGAGTTTGGTCCCTGGGTCCCACTGAAATTTCTCAGTTAGTGCTACCCATCAGCATCTCTTCCAAATTCCTGCTTGTACCCTGCTCATAGGGGTGGAGGAAAAATGTTTATCCTGGGACCATGGCTGGAAGGAAAGGCTGCTTAGAGTCTCTGTGACCTTTCGTTCCCAACTTGCTGTCATTATCTTGCAAATCAGACCTTTACCAGTCTTTTTTTTTTTTTTTTTTTTTCTGCTGCTCACATCCAGAGTTGAGTGTTGGAAGAGGTGGCTTTGTGCCCAAGTCAGGCACTAACTGGATGTGTGATCTTTGTTCTCCTGTTTCCTCATCTGTACAATGGTGTGTTAGTTTAGACCAAAGAGGGTAAGTACAGGTACTAGGGATGCTTGATCCCCTTTCACACCTTTGCCAGACATTGCTAATTAGTCGCACCACTCTCACCTAGTAAGGACAAATGTGGCCTCAGAATGCTTCTTAACACAGTGCCCTAGGCATTAACTACATATAAGTTGGAGTGGACAAACAAGTAAGTGATATACCATCCCTAGACTAGATGCTCTTTTAGGGCCTTTTCAATGCTATAATTCTAAGATTTTATGATTCAAGTTTGCATAATTCATTTTGTCATTCAATCAACAAATATTTCTGGGTACCTGCATGTGCCGGGCATTGTACTAGATGCTGGCTGTACACTGGTGAACAAAATAAACATAGTCCTTGTCTCTGTGGAGCTTACAGATTGTAAGTGCTTTCACAAGTGTCATAGATTGTATCCCAGTAATGCTTAGTACAGGGCAGGACAATCAAAGTCACCTGATGGTGGGAGATGAAGGAAGTAGATTTTGTTAAGCACCTTGGGCAAGGTTCAAATATATGATCCCATTTAATCCTTACAACCACCTTATAAATTAGATAATATTCACAGTCCTGCAAATGAGAAAAGCAAGGCATACAGAATTAAGTTGCCCATGATGCAAGAGTGATAATTGGTAAAGCTGAGATTGGGCCTGTAGCCAGTCTGATGCCAAAGGCAATAATTTTTATACCACATCTCACTATGGTACCCAACCTTTCTGTTCTTCAATAAAGAGAGAGTATCTCCAATAAGTAGGGAGGGGCAGATTAGATTCCACGTGAGGGAGAAGAGGAAAGGCTGGGACAATGTAGTTGCTGACCTGTAGCTGCTGGAGCCTCTGGGTAAGGATGAAGCTACTGTCTGGGGCTGATGCAGCCAGTTGGCCCAATTAAGCAGGGTAATGGCTAGAATGATGATATAAATGAGGCCAGTCCAGAGGATGTGCCTCTTCCTGCACCCTTGGATCATTTATCATATCACATCAGCCTGATTTCTTCCTAGGCCTAAATTGGACTTGCAATGAAACCAATCTTTTCCCAGTTTCTACCAGCTGCTTAAAGCTCTAAGACAGGGGTGTCCAGTCCTTTGGCTTAACTGGGCCACATTGGAAGAAGAAAAATTGTCTTGGGCCACACATAAAATACACTAACACTAATGATAGCTGATGAGCTAAAAAACAAACAAACAAACAAAAAACCCTGCAAAAAAAAAAAAAAACTCATAATGTTTTAAGAAAGTTTACAAGTTTGCGTTGGGCTGCATTCAAAGCCATCCTGGGCTGCATATGGCTTGCAGGCTGCAGGTTGAACAAACTTGCTCTAAGACCTCTCCTTATGTTTTGTGCTACTTTGAGATGGGATGTGCCCTGGAAAGTAGTGTGCTATGGTTTAAAGTTTGTTTCTCTCCAAAATACCTGTTGAAATGTAACTTTCAAGGTGATGGAATTAAGAGGTAGGGCACTTAGGAAGTTATTACGCCATGAGGGCTCCATTCTTATAGATGGGATTAGTGCTTTCATAAAAAGAAGTTGAGGGAGTGCCATGGTGCCTTTCTGCCCTCCCATCTCTTCTGCCATGTGAGGACAGTGTTCATTCCTGTTTGCCTTTACCACATGAGGACATGGGAAAAAGGCTCCATCTTAGAAGCATACAGAAGACCTCACTAGACACTGAATCTGCTGGCACCTCACCTTGATCTTGGATTTCCCAGTCTTCAGAACTGTGAAAAAATAAATTTCTGTTGATTATAAATTACCCAGTTTATTGTTATAGTGGCAGAAATGGACTAGGAAATTGGTACTGAGAAGTAGGGTGTTGCTATAACAAATACCTGACAATGTAAAGGTGGCTTTGGGAATGGGTAATGGGTAAAGAATGGACCACACAGGGCTATTCTGGGGAGGGCTGAGAAAAAAGGAGAGCTATCAAGAAAGCCTTAATCTTCTTAGAGATTGCTTAAGTGGTTGTGATCAGAACATTGGTAGAAATATGGACAGCAAAGGCAATTCTGATGAAGTCTTTGATGGAAATAAGGAACAAAGTATTGAAAACTAGAGGAAAGACCATCCTTGTTATAAAGTGGTGAGGAACTTGGCTGAACTGTGTCTGTGTTCTGGTGCTTTGTGGAAGGCAGAACTTAAGAGTAATGAACTAGGATATTTGGTAGAGGAAATCTCTAAGCAAAGTGGTGAGGGTGCTGCATAGCTTCTCTTGACTGCTTACAGTAAACTGTAAGGAGAGAAATGAATTAAACATGGAGTTCAGAATCAAAAGGAAAGCAGAACTTAAAGGCTTGGACAATTCTCAGCCCGGCCATGTAAAGAATAAAAAAGCATTTTTGGGAGAAAACACCAAAGTGTGTGGCCAAGTGAATATTTGATAAGGAGATTAGCATGAATAGATGAAAGTCAGATGCTATTCATCAGGACAATGGAAGAATTGCCCCAAAGGCATTTCAGAGATCTTCATGGCTGTCCACCCATCGCAGGCCCAGAGTGCCAGGACCTCAATGGCAGAATGATTTGAAAAGAGGGGGCCAGGGCATAACTTGTTTGATTGCATAGGTCCACAGCTGCAGGGCAGTTTGCCTCAGGCTGAATTGTACCTTGAGTCTCACCCATATTTGATGTAGATGAGACTCTGGACTTTAGACTTTTGAGTTGGTGCTGGAGTGAGTTAAGACTTTTGGGGCTAATGGGGTGGAATGAATGTATTTTGCATGTAGGAAAGACAAGAGTTTTGGAGGCCGGGGATAGAATGCTACAGTTTAAATGTGGCTGTCCTTCCAAAATTCATATATTGGAACTTATACCCCACAGTGATGGTGTTAGAATGTGGGGCCTTTGCGAGGTGATTAGGTTATGAGGGCTCCACCCTTGCAAATAAAATTAATGCCCTATAAAAGGGATAGAGGGAAATAGGTTCTTTTTTGTCCTTCTGTCTCCCATGCTACCTATGAGGAACAGGCCCTCACCAGACCCCTGACCTGACAGTGCCTTGATCTTGGAGTTCCCAGCCTTCAGGACTGTGAGAAATATATTTCTGTTATTTATAAATTACTGAGGCTAAGGTATTTTATTATATCAGCAGGAATGAACTAAGACAATGTGTCTAGGAAAGAGTAGGAGAAAGGCAAATATGAGGCACAGTTGGATTGAACTTGCCTTCATGGATGTAGTTCCACTCCAAGCCTAGACCGCTATCAGGGCCTAACCACACAGCCTGGCCTTGCCCTGTTCTTATGTATAGTAAAGCCTTACATGAGAACTTTGGAATTTAATTCCTCAATGACCAGCTTTCTGTTCACAGAGATTGATGTTCAGTGTTTGGAGGCCCAGAGAGTCCTCCTTGAGTGAGTATGTTCAAGCTGGGTGAAATAAAGGACTTTCCTGGAAAAGAAATATAGAAAAGAGTCCCAAAGGTTTCATGCATTTCTTTTCTAAATAACAATTTAGTGTACTATGGGAATTTCTCCCGCCTTATGAGTGAACTGTGCATCCCAAATGTTTGCAGTTGTTCTTGTTTCAGTTTCCCTGAGAGTAAAGGCTGAAGCCAGCACTTGGGTGCAGGTAGTTTATTTTTGGGAAGAGTGGTGGATGCTGTGACATGCTCAGCTGCCAGCCCTCCTGGGATGGCATCAGTTGCAGAGAGCTGCCTGGTTCAGCGTCCGACCCAATTTCTGGGGTGGCTATATCCAGTGACTGATGGAAGCCAGGGTACAAAGCTCTGGCATCCTCCCCCCAAGTCAGGATAACTCAGAAGTGTCATCGTAGCCTCAAAACTGACCTTGGAGGGTCAGCAGAAGCCTGCATTGAGACTACATCCAGATTCAGCTGCTCTGTCTGCCCAAGCTGCCTCTTTCCCCTCCCCTCCATGGGTGTTGATTCTAAGTGCCTCCTATAATAAACTTCTTGAGTGCTAATCTCCATTTCAAATCCTGCTTCTCAGGGAAGCTAACCTGTGACAGTAGGTACCAGAGATGGTCAGGGAAAGCAGATGCTAGGATGAGATTTTACATATTTATTTATTTTTTCACCTGCTATTTTTTAAACCTTTATTTTAGGTTCAGGACTACATGTGCGGGTTTGTCATATATGAAAACTGTGTCATGGGGGCCTGTTGTACAGATTACTTTGTCACCCAGGTAATAATCATAGTACCTGATAGGTAGTTTTTCAATCCTCACTCTCCACCCTCAAGTAGGCCCTAGGTCCTGGTGTCTGTTGTTCCTTTCTTTGTGTTCATGTGTACTCAATGTTTGGCTACCACCTATAAGTGAAAACATGCGGTATTTGATTTTCTGTTCCTGTGTCAGTTCACTTATGATAATGGCCTCCAGCTCCATCCACACTGCTGCAAAGGACATAATGTCATTCTATTTAATGGCTATCTTTTAAATGTCTTAGGATCCATAGTGATGTCAACTCTTTCATACTTGATATTGGTATTTTTTTTGGTCTTTTTCCCTGATGAGTCTCTCTAGAGTTTTATTACTTTTATTGATTTTTTAAAAAAAATCTATTTGTGATATTGAATTTTAAAAATTGATTTTGTTTTCAAATTCCTTCATTTCTTCCCTTAACTTTGTTGTTTCATGTAATATTCCATGGTGTATATATACCACATTTTCTTTATCCAGTCTACCATTGATGGGCATTTAGGTTGATTCCAGTCTTTGCGATTGTGAATGTTGCTGTAATGAACGTACATGTGCATGTGTCTTTATGGTAGAATGATATATATTCTTTGGATGTATGCCCAATAATGAGATTGCTGAGTTGAATAGTATTTCTAAGTTCTTTGAGAAATCCCCACATTGCTTTCCACAATGGCTGAACTAATTTACATTCCCACCAGCAGTGTAAGAGTGTTCCCTCTTCTCTGCAACCTCACCAGCATCTGTTATTTTTTGAATTTTTAATAATAGCCATTCTGACTGGATTGATATAGTATATCATTGTGGTTTTAATTTGCATTTCTCTAATGATTAGTGATGTTGAACATTTTCTCATCTGCTTGTTGGGTGTATGTATCTCTTTTGAAAAATGTGTATTCATGTCCCTTGTCCACTTTTTTGATGGGATTGTTTTTTACTTGTTAGTTTGTTTAAGTTCCTTATGGATTCTAGATGTTAGACCTTTGTTAGATGCATAGTTTGCAAATATTTTCTTCCATTCTGTAGGCCGTCAGTTTACTCTGCTGATAATTTCTTTTGCAGTGCAGAAACTCTTTAGTTTAATTAGGTCTCAATGTGTCAATTTTTGTTTTTGTTGCAATTGCTTTTGGTGTCTTTGTCATGAAATCTTTGACAGGGCCTATATCCAGAATGGTATTTCCCAGATTATATTCCAGGGTTTTTTAAAATAGGTTTTAGGTTTCACAGTTAAGTCTTTAATCCATCCCGAGTTGATTTTTTTTTGAGATGGAGTTTCATTCTTGTTGCTCAGGCTGGAGTGCAATGGCATGAGCTTGGCTCACTGCAACCTCTCCCTCCTGGGTTCAAGCAATTCTCCTGCCTCAGCCTCCTGAGTAGCTGGGATTACAGGCATGCACCATTATGCCTGGCTAACTTTTGTATTATTAGTAGAGACGGGGGTTTTTCCATGTTGGTCATGCTGGTCTCGAACTCCTGACCTCAGGTGATCTGCCCGCCTTGGCCTCTCAAAGTGCTGGGATTACAGGAGTGAGCCACCATGCCCGGCCCTGAGTTGATTTTTATATATGATGTAAGGAAGGGGTCCAGTTTCAATCTTCTGCATATAACTAGCCAGTTATAGGATGGAATTTTAGAGCTGTCTAGATGACCACTGCGTGGGTGGCAGTGAGGATGGGGTTACTGGTGGTAGGTGGAGCACAGTGGTACAAACTTGAATTTGTGGTGACTTGGTATGGTATACCAGTGGACAAGAATTAATTGGTATTTTCTATGTGGAAAGTCTTTACTTCAATTTTTTAAATTGAATAATTTAGTTTTATTAACAAGAATAGAATGAAAACAGTTCAATTTCTTTAATAGGTGTAGGGATATTGGTACTTTGTGTCTTTTAAGAAATTTTTTCTTTTCATCTAAGTTCATAAATTTATGGCATAATGTTCATATTTCCTTAATATCTTTTAAATGTCTTAGGATCCATAGTGATGTCAACTCTTTCATACTTGATATATATTTTTTTAGTCTTTTTCCCTGATGAGTCTCTCTAGAGTTTTATTACTTTCATTGATTTTTTTCAAAAAAAATCTATTTGTTATATTGAATTTTAAAAATTGATTTTGTTTTCAAATTCCTTCATTTCTTCCCTTAACTTTGTTGTTTCATTTATTCGGATTATTTTAGGTTTAATTTTTTTTTCTTGTTTCTTAAGATGAGTAGCCTAGATCATTAAATAAAGCTTTTCTTCTTTTATGCTGTAAGCATTTAATGTTGTAAGTTTTCCTCTAAGAACTCCTTTAGCTATAATGTATTTTCATTTTTATTCAATTCAAAATATTGTCTAATTCACTTTTGATTTTTTATTTGCTTGTGTGTTATTTAGAAGTATATTGTTTAATTAATTTCTAGATGTTGAGGGATCTTCCAGATATTTTACCATTTTTGATTTTGGTTTAATTCCATCGTGATCAGAGAACATTTTGTATGACTTCAATCTTCTTAAACTTATTGAGACTTGTTCCATGGCCTAGAATACAGTCTGTTTGGTGAATGCACCATATATAATTACAAAGAGTGTGTATTCTTCTATTGCTGGGTGGCTTGTTCAATAAATATCAATTAGGTCAAGTAAGTTAATAGCATTGTTAAATTATTCTGTATCCTTACATCTTTAAGCAATCTTACTTTACTTTCAAGCAACATTATACCTCTTGACATATAGCATAAAAAATGTATAATAGCACTGTATTGGGCTGAATGGTGGCCCTCCTAAAATATGTCCACGTCCTAATCCCTGTACCTGTGATTGTTTAGAGTGAAAAAGAATGAATGATTACCTTTTGTGGCAAAAGTTATGATTAAGGTAAGGACTGTGAGGGGAGGAGCTTATCCTGGATTATCTGGGTAGGCTTTAAATAGTCACATACATCTTTATAAGAGTGAGGTAGAACGAGTTTTGGGACGGGCACACAGGGAAGACATACAGAGGAAGAGGTCATGTGAAGATGGAGGTAGGGAGATTGGGGTGATGCTGCTAGGAGCCAAGGAATGTCAAGGACTTCCAGCACCCACCAGAAGCCAGGAGAGAGAATCACGGAATGCATCTCCCTCAGAGCCTCGGGAGGCAGGGTGGCAGCATGGACACCTTTCTCTCAGACCTCTGGCCTCTGGAAGTGTGAGAGAATACCTTTCCATTGTCTTAAGCCTCTCAGAATTTTACATAATTGGTTTCTGGATTTTGTTTTGCTCCTTTAAATAATATTTAATTTTGTGTTGGCACTGATAAGTTCCTTGGATTCAGTTGGATACTTTTGATGCCTTTGAAAGCTGCATTAGGGTAGATGTAGAGCAGCCTTTAGGGCTAATTTATTCCTGCTATTAAAGCAATCCCCCAATGCTCCAGGTCTCACTACAATTTTCTTCTCTGGCTAGTTGGAACATGAGCTATTTCAAGACCTTTGGATATTTTGACTGCTCTTTTCCAGTGGGTCTTTCTCCAATCTCAGATAATTTCCTCTTCCAGATGTGCAGATCAGTACTCAGGAACCTACTCATGGTGGCCTTTTTGCAGTACTTCTTTTCTGGTACTGTACCTCACCATGGCATCCTGAACTTGGATTTCCATCTCCTCCACTCAGAGAGACAGCCAGGCTCTGTGAATGTACCCTCTTTTCTTGTGGTCAGAAACTGCCTTTATGCAGTAAGCTGGTGGAGTGCTAGGGCTCACCACGTTTCTTTTCTTTTCTCAGCAACTGCAGTCTGATCTCTGAACACTGATGTTCACATGTTCTGTCTGGTTTTTTAAGTTGTTTAGGGTGGGAGGGTAAATCTAGGCCCTGTTTTTCCATCTTTTCCATAAGGACCAGCAGGGTTTCTAAGAACTTCTAATGTAATAATGACTCATCATGATGGAGATGCAGAATGCAGTGTTTCCCACACTTATTTGATAAAGGAGGGAAACCACCTCCCAGGACTATGCTTTAAGAAATTCACTTCTGGAAGACCAAGCTACACTGGATACAGGAATGACACCTTTCCCAGCCTCTTGGGGAAGTCCAAGCTGCTTCAGAGGCTTCTGAACTAAAGTCAGTGCTCTCTGGGAAAGCTCAGACTTAGAAGGAAAAAGATAAAGGATGTCCTCAAGCCAGAAGAGTCAAACCCAGCTCCTCAGGCCCACCCTTCCAGCATCTTCCTGACCCTGCATCTTTAACAGGACTCTCTTACCCTCCCAGTGAGAAAGAACCTCTGGAGTTCCAGGCCTGGGCGAGGCAACAGTCATGCAGCCTCTGTCCCTGCTCCCTGCCTCTGCTCCGGCCACCTCCTTCCCTCCTGTGCCTACCTGGCTCCTGGCCATTGGGTTTCATTTCCTCTTATATGTCCCACACTCACCTCTGTGGCTTTTTCAGTTTTAGATACACTCTTGCTCCTGCTGCTGCTGGGCATCCTTTGTAGCTACTACTCAGACCAAATAAGCCCCAACCCCTGAAATAAAACTGAGATGTCAGCACATTCAGCTGCCCACAGTGGAGGTGGGGTGGGGGGTACTGGACATACCAATGGGGATACTCACTCCAACCACAGGGACACCAGCCAGTCCCCACTGATGTCCATTATGAAAAAAGAGGTGCGCTTCCACAGGGCAGAAAAATCATCCATTTTGATTGAGCAATTCCAGCATGTCTTGGTCAAATTAATGGCTAAGCTGCAGAACTCTGACTACTTTATTGTCTGAGGAATCACTCACCACAGCCACCAACCATTTTATTTTGCTTTTCACTTACAATCCTTTGTGTTTGTTGATAGAGTTGCGTATAAAGTTTTAAAAAAAGTGAAGAAAGCCATCCACTTCTACCTAGCTCTTTCTCAGTTTACTTTGCCAAAGGAAACCAGGAGCCCCTCTCTGATAAAGATCTTTAAAGGGGACATTGATTCTGCATAGAAAACCTTGGGCCAGATGTGTTTAGGGATTCAGAATTTTTTAGATTTTAAAAAGGTAATACAGTCTACATACCATATATCCTCTAATACCCCAGCAGGTTCTGGGTCAAAAAAGTGGGTCAATAGTTCATCAGTGAAATGTACAAATATTCACATAAAGTTGGATAAGTGAAGAAAATAAGTAGCCTCATATCAGGTCAGGGCAGGTTTGTTACTAATTGAGTTTGTCCCAAGCTGATAAAACACTTTAATTATTTTTCAGAATTTTTGGTTTTGGAATTGTATTACTCTTGCTCCAGCTGCTATAACAGAATACCACAGAACTGTGTGGCTTAAACAACAGAAATTTATTTCTCATAGTTCTGGAGGTGTAGGAAGTCCAAGATCAAGGTGCCGGCAAGGAAGGTTTCACTCTGGGGCCTTTTCTCTTGCCTTGGAGATGACCATAATCAATCTGTGAGCTCAAAGGAACTCTTCTTTATGTGCCCGATGGGGTTGGGGTAAGAATACTCTCTGGGTCTCTTCTTTTTTAATTTTTGAGACAGGGTCTCACTCTGTCACCTAGGCTGGAGTGCAGTGGCATGATCACGACTCACTGCAGCCTCGACCTCCACAGGCTCAGGTGATTCTCCTGCCTCAGCCTCCTGAGTAGCTGGGTCTATGGGTGTGCACCACCATGCCTGGCTAATTTTTGTATTTTTTGCAGAGAAGGGTTTTGCCATTTTGTCCAGGCTGGTCTCAAGCTCCTGGGCTCAAGTGATCCACCTGCCTCAGCCTCCTAAAACGCTGGGATTATAGGCATGAGCCACCATGCCCAGTCTCTCTGCATCTCTTATAAGGACACTAATTCTATTATATCAGAGCCTCCTCCTTATGACCTCATTTAACTTAATTACTTCTTTAGGTCCCATCTCCAAATACAGCTACACTGGAGCATTAGAGTTTCAGTGTATAAATTTTTTGGGGGGATGGGGGCTAGAAGGGACAGACACAAACATTCAGTCTCTTACAGGAATTGTGAGTAAGAGCTTGCGGGTCAGTCTTCATATCATGCTCACTACCAGTCCAGCCATCCTGGTCTTTTTGTTTCTTGAATCCCCCTACCTGTTCTAGTTGGAGAGTCTCATTGCATGGGCCTGTTCCTGGTCCTAGCACACCCTGTCCTGGCACCCTGCTCACCTCCACACACACCTGCTTCTTTAATGGCTGGCTCATTTTTGCCTCCACCCTCAGCTTACCTGCCCATAGAGGCTTTTCTGACCACCCTGTCTAAAGATGGCCTCTGCTAGTCACTTTATTTGTAGTGCTTCTCTTCTGAAATGATCTTCTGAACTTCTTTACTTGTCCTTCAGCTAGAATGAAATTTTCAGGAGGGCTGGGATCTTATCTTCCCCCTCATTGCATGCCCACAGCCTAGACCTGTATCATGGTGTGCGTCAGGCATGATAATAGCTAATGGCTGTCAGGTCTGATGGAGCACTCTCATGGGACACTCACTGGGTCTTGGAGCTTTGTGTAATAACACGTTTTAGGTTTTATTGGATAAATTAAATAGGGGGGCTCTCCCCC
The DNA here is from genome assembly GCF_000001405.40 of Homo sapiens. Lineage (NCBI taxonomy): Eukaryota > Metazoa > Chordata > Mammalia > Primates > Hominidae > Homo > Homo sapiens. The sequence goes on from NC_000014.9 coordinate 78,073,351, forward strand.
TCTCCCCTAGACAATTCTGGCCAGGTCTAGCCCTACCTCGACTGGAAAACCTTCTGTAAGTATTCTGGCCGACGAGTCCTCTGTCTCTACCACATCATTCACCCTGTGAGAGACCCACATTTCACATGCAGCTCGTAACTCACCTGCTATTGATTCCTTTGTTATCAATGGTTAAAATTAATTGGACTTTTTTTTTTTTTTTTTGTAAATACTAACTTTACAGCCTGTTTTGTAAAGTTTATTACAGTAGCTTTGCTGGAAAATTTCTGAACTGTGCTGCAACGTTGCTGAAAAGGCCCTCACTGAGCTCATCCTAAATATGGACTCATTGGCACTAACTTTCATCCATTCAGCTCCACCACCAGGTATTCCCAAAGCATGAGATATGTGCCAGGCCAAGTGCTGGGGACAGTGTTTAACAGGGCAGGCAGTGCCCTGGACCCCATGCACACACATTCCAGAGGACTCTTATGGTTCTTCTGCATATGTCAGGGTGCTGACACCTGCTGGGCATTCATTCATTCACCTCTTTACTCATTCACCAATATTTATTGAGTACCAATCAGGTTCCAGGCACTGTGCCTGGTGCAGAAATACAACAGTACAACAGTGAGTTTCTTTTTTTTCTCTTTCTTTTTTTTTTTTTTTTGATAGAGTCTCTCTCTTTTGCCCAGGCTGGAGTGCAGTGGCGCGATCTTGGCTCACTGCAGCCCCAACCTCCCAGGTTCAAATGATTCTCCCACCTCAGCCTCCTGAGTAGCTGGGATTACAGGCATGCACTACCATGCTTAGCTAATTTTTGTGCTTTTAGTAGAGACTGGGTTTCGCCATGTTGGCCAAGCTGGTCTCAAACTCCTGGCCTCAAGCGATCTGCCTGCCTCAGCCTCCCGAAGTGCTGGGGATTATAGGCGTGAGCCACCATGCCCGGCCATAACAGTGAGTTTAAACAGAATCATAACTCACAGGACAGTGTATGGGGAAGGAACACATTGTCAAAAATCACAACAGTGATCAAGCTGTATGAGGGGATTTGGTACAGTCTGGGGTGCAAGGGAGGGCTTCCCTGATCAGAAAGATGAGGAGGTATTCAGTAGACACAGGGGGACTCTTTTCCACACAGTGGGACAGAAGTGCCCTGGGGTGGACGAAGCAATGATATTCTGGAAACCAAGAAAAGGAGGCCAGGGAGCTGGGAGCCAGGGAAAATGGGTGATCTAGTAGGTGCCTGTTTAACATTGGAAGAATAGAAAATCTAACCATAGCTTTTATTTAAACAAATATGTTTTCCCCTCAATGCAACTCAATCCCAGGCCTGCAGCAAGTGGTTCCCCTGCCCAGAGTGAGACAGACATGCCAAGGGCCCTTTAAAACCAACCTGGCCTGTGGCCCAGTGTGCTTGGTGTCTGCAAGGAGCCCAGGGCTAGCGCTGGAGCTGACACTGAACACCACAGGCTCGTAGGGAAATACCACCGAGTAATAGATTTTTATCCATGCTCTCCACTGAATCCTTTCCAGATTGTAGTGGGGCGGCTGTTGGTACAAGTCAAACGTGGATTCAGCTGGCAGTGGGAAGGGATTCAGAGATGGAGAGGAAGAGGCCACAGGCAGGGATGGGGAGGAGAGGGGGCGGGGGAAAAACCTTTAGGGAAAGAGAGATGGGGGAAGGCCCATTGAAGGGTTAAATCTTCCTGCCAGCATCTCTGCCCCTTCTCTGCTGAGAGGCTGTATTTATAGATGGGATAATTGAGGAGGCTTTGAAAGCAGTTCTGAAGTGTGGGGCTGTTGTGTGGGGGTGGGGAGCCTGGGTTCCACCTGCTCCTGGGAGCTGGCCTCCCCGACCCCCTTTGCTTCTCAGGCCTCCTAACAAGATCCAGCGTGGTGATGTGATGGCACCACTAACAGCATCCTGCCCAGGTGCGGGACATTGTGCTTGTGAAGTGCTTCACTTTTAATCCCCAAACAGCCCGGGAAGTGAGTACAACCACTTTCCCCAGCTTTTTCCTGACCACCTTAGCTAAAGTGGCCCCTGCAACCTAGACCCCATCACTGACTCTCTGGGACCTCACCTGGTGTATTTCTTGCTAGCAAGATCACAACCGGTAAATTATCTTGTTTATTTTTTCACTTGTTTAATGTCTGCTTTGTCTATCTTGTTTGCTAAATGCTTGGCCTAGAATGAGCATTCAATAAATATTGATTGAATAAATGAATGCTTATTTAATAGACTGGGAAACAGGCTCAGAGGGGTGAAGTAATTCTCACAGTCACAGGGTCAGTGGTAGAGCCGCAGTGAGCAACCAGGTGCAATTATCTTCAGAGCTTAAGGTCTTAGCGCTGAACCAGAAGGCCCAAACTCAGATACACGGAGGGGCCAGGCCACTCGGATGAATGATTGAAGAGGGCTGTGTGTGTGTATATGCGTGTGTGTGTTTGTTTGCACAGAGGAAGCCTGTGTGTGTAGGGCTCAGAGAGCAGACACCGTCTCTGGTGGTGGACTGGAGCTTCCTCTCAGCCCTGGTTGAAGGGGCAGATACTGTTCAGCTGTGGCTAATTGTTGCTGGATCTTCTGATTTTTCAGGACAAGCCAGAAATCTGGATTTTTATGTGAAATTTCCTGGTTTTTAAATGCTGGCAACAAATCTATATTTTTAATGAACATACCACACAAAGCACAGGCCAAACACAACACAGCTGTGGGCTGCGTGGGGCCTACAGATTGCAACCTCTGCCCTCAGTGCACTCACTTTGTCTTGAAGACCAATGTGGATAACACTTATCCTTTCCAGGGACACGGCACTTTGGGGATTTCAAAGCCCTTCCTTGACTAGTATTTCTTTTAATATTCACAATGTTCCAGGAGGGATGTCGGTTAGACTACTACACTCATTTAGTTTAAAATTTTTTTTAAAGAGATAGGATCTTGCTCTGTCACTCAGGCTGGAGTGCAGTGGCACCATCATAGCTCACTATAGCCTCAAACTTCTGAGCTCAAGTGATTCTTCCACCTCAGCCTCCCAAGTAGCTAGGACTACGGGCATGTACCCCCACACCTGGATAACTTTATTATTATTATTATTATCATTATTATTTTAGAGACAGGGTCTTGCTATGTTGCCCAGGCTGGTCTTGAACTTCTGGCTTCAACTGATCCTCCTGCCTCAGCTTCCCAAGTAGCTGGGACTACAGGCATGTACCACCATGCCTGGCTAATTTTCATTTTTTGAGATGGGCTCCTGCTATGTTGCCCAGGCTGGTCCTGAACTCCTGGCCTCAAGTGATCCTCTCAGCCTCCTAAAGTGCTGGGATTATAGGCATGAGCCACTGCACCTGGCCTATGCCTATTTGAGATTAGCAACAGAGACCCTAGTGGGTTCCTGTGAAGCCATGGGAAGTGGCAAAGAGCCCTTGCTCTCAGGCCTTTCCCTTCTGGCCACTGTTGTGGTCCTGCCCGGGGCCCCCTCTCTCCAGGCCTTCCATTCTTCCCCCTCTACTTGGAATATATATGGGGATGAAGAAATCCAACTTGGTGCCACCCACAGGTTTGGGGTGCCCCCAACAGAATTTATTGCCAGCTCCATGGAGCGCCTATGCTGGTTCTTGTTTGGAGATACAGTTATCAAAATATTGTCACACTGAGTAATGATATAGCTCTGCCAACACATTTTAATTCTGGTTAGGCTTTAGCAGTCATTTATCAGCCCAAAAAGGGAAGGGGAATGCTTGGCTAGTCTGCAAGCTCCTCTATAGCACAGTGCCTCCCCTATTCCAGCCTGGGCCACCCCAAGGTGGACAGGTGACAGGTAATTGCTGAGTGAGTAAATGAATGAATGAATGAATGAATTCCCATTTTCCCATGGGGTGAGGGGAAAAGGGGGCTGGGCATGATGGCTCACGCCTATAATCCCGGAACTTTGAAAGGCCGAGGCAGGAAGATCACTTGAAGCCAAAAGTTGGAGACCAGGCTGGGCAACATAGCGAGACTCTGTCTCTACAAAAATGAATTAAAAAATTAGCTGGGCAAGATGGCATGCACCTGTAGTCCCAGCTACTCAGTAGGCTGAGGTGGGAGGACTGTTTGAGCTCAGGAATTTGAGGTTGCAGTGAGCTATGATAGTGCCACTGCACTCCAGCCTGGTTGACAAAGTGAGGCCCTATCTCTAAACAACAACAACAAGAAAATAATAATAATTTCGTTAACCACAGCTAATATTTTTTGTTCACTTATGTATTCTGGACACTGTTTTAAGCCTTTTACGTGTCTGTTGAGGTAGAATAGTTATGTGTCTGTAGAACAGTGACTGTCACGCTAAGTGCTTAGAATATGTCCCTTCTCATTTAAGATTTCATTATTATTAAGATTTCATTTAATTTTCACAGCAGCCCTGGGAGGGAGGCATTATGTCCATTTTGCAGAGAAGAAAACCAAGTCACTGGGAGGTGCAGTAACTTGCCCAGGTAACCTAGCTAGTAAGTGGTGGTCCCAGGACTTCAACCCCCGCTGTCTGGCCCCAGAGTTCATGGTCTTACCCATCAGAAAAAAGCAGCGAGGACGTGGCTGGAGGGGAGACAAGAGAAGTGAGAAAAAGCTGCCAACAGAGTTGAGAAAGGAAGGGTGTATGTGGGGACCAGGCTGAGAAAGGGCAGCACAGGGGGGCCTCTGGGAGAAGAAGGGCAAATGGGAGCCCAGAGTCGGAACTCGGTTCAGGGTACCCACCTCCCCCAGGGCTGTTTCCCTGTGAACATGGTGGAAGATGACAGATTCAGGATTAATGGAAAGGTTTCAGCTCTCTGAGTACCAGGTGGAAGTTTGCCTGAAGCATGGCCAGAGCATGATTGGTAAGCAGGCCCTGACCTCGGCCACCAGCCAGACCCCATTCCTTTCACACTTCTCCACAGAGTCTGGCTGGACCAGAGTCTCTGCTGAGACAGGTTAAAAGGGCTTAAAAACAGGCAAGAAACAAGAGGATGAATCGATTTTTTCTCAGTGAACTTAATGCTCTCTGAAGGAAGTGTGTAGTTATATGAATTTAGGTATGGGGGAGAAACCTAGAGCTGTCTGTTTCTCTGTCCCTCCCACCATTTATTACATGGGGACATTTGCTAATACGTGTCTCCACAGCTCATATTTTTGGATGAATAAGGTGAGTAGGTGCAGGTGAGCATCTGCATGGCCCATAGTGAGCAAAACCTTTGAGATCATTGCACAATCTACAAATATAAAATGGTGGTAGGAGCCATAGTCTCTGTGGTCCCACAGGCCAGGCTTGAGGGCCAGAGCTGCTGGTGGGTCCATTGGAGGTCACATCAAAGCCCAGCCCTCACCTTCAGGGAGGCTGAGCTGGTTTGGTTGTGTTAGGAGATTGGTTGAAGGGAGCTGTGGCCAGGGTCCTCTTGTTGAGCAAGCCAGGTCAAGTAAATCTGAGGAGTTGCTTAAAATGGGATCAGGGTAAGGTAATTCTATGATGACCAAATTTTGACCAAAGAGCTGCAAGAACAAGACTGTTGGGGGCTTCTGGGAAAGATGTTTCCTTCCTAATAAGTGAAAAGCAGGAAAGGAAAATGCCATTTTTGCTACTCTTTTTTTTTTTTTTTTTTTTTTTTGCAGTATGGTTTTGGATACTGTTATGTGATAATGTGATGCTTGGAATATGGCAGCCATGTTGTGACTAAGAGGGGGAGTGTAGTATAGTGAGGATGGCAGAGGATTGATGGAGTTGTGTCCCAAGGACATAGATAAGCTGCTATGCTTACCCTGGGACTGCCCACCTCTACCTTGTGTCCAGTAAGTAATAACTGTCTACAATTTAAGCCACCGTTAGTGATATTTCTATTCCTTGCAGCTGAGGTAATTTTAACTGATGTAAAAGCATAAACTCCTGAGATGTATTCCTGGGTTTTAGGAAGTCCAGACTTTTTGAGCTGGTTCCTAGGACCACTGTGGGTGCTTTAGACCAATGGGTTGGCTTACATCTTTTTGTGTGTGAAGGAAGCAGAGAATAAAAGGGTTCTGGTTAGTGTGGGAACCATATGGTTTTGCTTCAGGTTGTGTATTCCTTGGTGTGTTTTGTTCTCTTTGATTTCCTTGCTTTTCCTTTGGGAAATTCCTTTGAAAATGAAACAAAAACTCACCCTATCAATTTGATCAAGAAATTTTCTGGTCTAATTCCTTGGAAAAGCCACATATGAGGAGCTGAATCCCTAAGACCCATGGTGGGAAGGGAATGGGGGAGAGGACCTCAAAATCAATAACGCTAATTGTGTACCTATAAATGTCCAACATTAAAAAGTTTATTTCTGGACTGTCAGTTTTATTCCATTAATCTATACATTTATTCTTATGCCAGTGCTACATTGTTTTGATTACTGTAGCTTTGATGTAACTTTTGAAATTGGGAAATATAAGTCCTTCAAATTTGTGCTTTTTCCAAGATGGTTTTAGCTATTCTAGATCCCTTGAATTTTCATTTAAATTTTAGAATTAGCTTGTCAATTTCTGCAAAAAAGATGGCTGGGATTTTGATAGAAATTATATTGAATCTGCAGATCAACTTGGAGAGTACTGCCATCTTTTTTTGGTTTTTTGTTTTTTTCTGAGACAGAGACTCACTCTATCTCCCAGGCTGGAGTGCAGTGGCACTATCAAAGCTCACTGTAGCCTCAAATTCTTGGTCTCATGCAATCCTCCTGCCTCAGTGTCCCAAGTGTCTAGGAATACAGGTGCATGCCACCATGCCTGGCTTATTTATTTATTTATTTATTTATTTATTTATTTATTTATTTATGAGATGGAGTCTTACTCTGTTTCCCAGGCTGGAGTGCAGTGGGTGGCGTGATCTCAGCTCACTGCAACCTCCGCCTCCCAGGTTCAAGTGCATCTCCTGCCTCTGCCTCTCCAGTAGCTTGGATTATAGTCATGAGCCACCGAGCCTGGCTAATTTTTTTGTATTTTTAGTAGAGACAGGGTTTCACCATGTTGGCCAGGCTGGCCTCAAACTCCTGGCCTCAAGTGATCCTCCTGTCTCAGCCTTTCAAAGTGCTGGAATTACAGGCATGAGCCACTGTGCCCAGCCGGTATTGCCATCTTGACCACGTTTTAATTCTTCTGATCCATGAACATAGGATGTCTTGCCATTTTTTTTTTTTTTTTTTTTGATTTGGAGTCTCGCTCTGTCACCCAGGCTGGAGTGCAGTGGCGCGATCTCGGCTCACTGCAAGCTCCGCCTCCCGGGTTCATGCCATTCTCCTGCCTCAGCCTCCCGAGTAGCTGGGACTACAGACGCCTGCCACCGTGCCCAGCTAATTTTTTGTATTTTTAGTAGAGACGGGGTTTCACCGTGGTCTCGATCTCCTGACCCCGTGATCCGCCGGCTTCGGTCTCCCAAAGTGCTGGGATTACAGGCGTGAGCCACTGCTCCTGGCCGTCTTTCCATTTTTAAGGTCTACTTTAATTGATATCAACAACATTTGGTAGTTTTCAGACTATAAATTTTACACTTTTTAAAAGGTTTATTTCTAAGTATTTTATTCTTTTTGATGCTATTATAAATGAAATTTAAAAATTTTTATCTTTGTTCATTGCAAGTTTATAAAAACACAATTGATTTTTGTATATTGATCTGGTATCCTGAAATCTTGTTGAATTCATTTATTTCTTCTGGCTAATTCTTAATGGGAAAACTTTTTTCCCCCTTTAATTCCATTTCTTATTTCTAAGTTTTCTGAGCCAACCTTGGCTTTGTAAGTGCTTCCCCCTCCCGCCTGTAAGGTGTGAGCCCCCATTTTTAACACACGTAGGCTGAACATTTCAAAAGCAGATAAATCTGATGAAACTAGATAGTCCTCCATTCTTTATTGGTTTCACTCTTGCACTGAGTCTAAGGTATGGAACAAGATGGGGAATAATTTTAGGTATCAGGGCAAGGCAGGAAAAGGAGATCTATTTATCCTGGGAGTGGGAAGAGAGGGTCTGAGCAGAAAGAAGAGTAAAGGAGAGGGAGCAAGAACAAGGAAATGCCCAGCACTGTGAGGTGAGTTCCCAGAGAACACGTGAGAAGCAAGCAAAAGCTCAAAGAGGTGAGGGAACAGTGAAGAGGGTGCAGTGAGGACAGGATTCAGACAAAGGCACATCAGGGTGTCTTTGAGCCTGTTTGCCTGGGATAGGAGGTGCCAGCAACTCACCTAGGAAGGGCTCTTTAGTTTTGGTGAGGCTGGGTGTAAAGAATATGATTGCCACCAATTTATCAATATCTATATCAATTGTGTGTCTGCTCTGTGTCAGGCACTGTGCTGGTACTTACATTCATGACTCCTTAAAATGACTCTGGATTATAGACCGTGATATATCCATTTTGCTGGCAAGGGAACTGAGTCTTGGAGAAGTTCAGGAACTTTCTCAGTTAGTAAGGGACAAAGGAGCTCAGAGTTGGCTTCTTTGACTTCTAAGTCTGCCTTCTTCCTGCCCTGTCCCAAAGCCTCCTGAGCACTGGGTTGGGGGAGTATGCTCTGTGTGCCTGCTCTTTTCTTCCTTCCTGCAGAGGTTGCCTCCCTAGCCTCCTCTGAACATTTCTTTCTTAAGGTATAGTGTGTGGGTGAGTTGCTTCTAGGTCTGCTCTGTATCACCGTTTTGCAGGGTATTCTGAACTGAGCTTTACCCCGATGGCCAGAGTTTGCTGCCTTATTCAGGCCTTTGCTGAGTCCAGGTGAGCTAGGAATGGGAAATGTGAAACACACACTCCCTTTTGCACTCAGAGTTCTATGACAAGTTGGGAGATGAGCTTTCTTTGTCTTTGGGCAGACTTACCTGGATTTAGTTTTGTAGCTATAGGAGAAGCCCATGGCCATCCCACCAACACTTTGGCTGAGCTACTAACACTTGGCCACCTAGAAAAGCAACTGGGACATAGTTGGATCTCAAAATATTTGTTGAATGTTGAATAAATGGTTTCTAGTCTTTGCCCCAGCACCAGCATTATTGGGGGCTGTATTCAGTTAATGATTTTCACAATGGGAGGCAGTTCTAGTTTAGTTGAGGCAGTGGGACCCCTTGTTATCATAGATACCACGTTCACAAGCTCATCTTTCTGTTAAGTGAGCAAATATTTATTGCTTTCTGAAGAGGTGCCAGGGACAGACCAGCCAACGAATGCTGGTTCTCACGGAATTTAGAATTCAGAGGGGTAAACAGACATAAAATAACTACATGTGGCCAAATCCTGGGCACGGCTGTCTTTTGTTTCCATGTGGCTTTTTATGTGGCTTTTCTCGACAAAACAACACCTATCATTGTGCCAGCTCCTTCCTTCTCCCTCTTGCCTTCCCTAGGCTTTCAGTGTTACATCTCCATCTCCAGCCATCCTTTCCTTCTGCCCCTCACCTCGGCACTGGGTATCAGTTTACCCTTTTCCCTGCAACAGTGGCTTTCCATGTCTGCCTCTCTGAAGAGCTCCAGGCAAACAGCACAGGGCTCTTATTAATCTTGATCTGTAAATCATTCTCCCACCCTCACCTCCACTCATAAATTCTGGTCCTCATGTGGAGCACCTCTTGGTTGAGATGGGTTTTGCAGAGCACTTTCTGCCATCAGAAGGAACATTCCAGAGAGAGAGAGAGAGAGAGAGAGAGAGAGAGAGGGAGAGAGAGAGAGAGAGAGAGAGAGAGAGAGAGAGAGAGAGAGAGAGAGAGAGAGAGAGAGAGAGAGAGAGAGATCCTGTGGGAAAACATCCTCTTAGGCTTAATTCTTCCTGGGTGAATTGCATGTGGCCGAGTTCCACCCCAGGAGTAAAAGCAATTCTTATATTTATTTCCATCCCTGTCTCCTTTGCTGAACATGTCTTTAAGGACATTTACTGGGTCAGATGCAGGGTCAGGGATGGAGATGTATATAGTGAGCAGTCACAGTCCCTGTTCTGCTCTGTAGGAGAGACAGGGTGTACCTATCAAATGTTAGCTAATGAGATATTATGGAATTATAGAATGTCAAAATTAGAAGTTACCTTATCATTTATTCTAATACTTTGCAAACTTCTTTGATCATGACCCACAGTAAGAAATATATCTTATATTATGAACCAGTATGTATGTATTACATTATCCATACATATGTATATACACACAAATATATATGTCTGTCCCTATCATTTATCAGTCATCTATTTATCATATAACTGTATCTTACAAAAGTTTTACATCATTTATCAGTCATCTCTCTATTTATCATATAACTGTATCTTACAAAAGTTTTACAAAGCAAGTGTTTCAAAATAGTAGTTGTGTCTTCTTCCATCTCTTGGTCTTGTGTAATGTAGTACCTCTGGATCAGTGGTGTGCTTGATTCAGCATGGACCAGCTCATGAGAGTCAGTTTCCAAATTTTCAGCAATGTTGGGAGCTGATTATTAAAGTTGTTATTAAAAATTAAATTCTATAACTTACAGATAAATTATGCTAAACACAAGGATAATAAGTACTCAAAACTTATTTCTGAATTACTTGACTACATTTTACTGTTATCTATGCTCTTGAAGTTATTTATGTGTATTGTACCTGCATGGTGGAAATAATATCTGATGTATTACTTTCTATCTTGTCCCAATTCTGTGCTCAGAGAAGTCTCATTGGTAGCTTGAAACTGGTCATGGGGAAAATATTTACATTACAGGGACTGGCAAATGCAATAGGGTTCCAGCCCCTGGAAAGACAGTTGTTAAGCATTTACCAGCATACCATTGCTCTGGAGTCACACTAGTTGGGTTTAGTCTTAGATCTAGCACTTGCTAGCTGTGTGACTTGGGCAAGTTACTAAACATTTTTGGGCCTGTTTCTTTGTACAATGCACATCCTTCTAGGGTTGCTTTGAGGATTAAATGAGTTAATACACAAATGCTTAGAACAGTGCCTGGCAGATGGTACATAGAGAGGTGTTACCTGTCGTCTGGGCTAACTGTTGCTAGGTTATCCCATTCACTCTGGTAGGGTATGGTTTCCTGTTCACTCTCTCCTTACCTTGGCTTCGGACTTGACATATGTGTTCGTCTTCTCTTCCCAGCCAGATCATAGGTTCCCTGAGAGCAAGAGTGATTGGCTTCTTTGTAAACTCTAGGTCTCAGTCTTAAATGAGGCGCAATCTAGATGCTCAATCTCATTGACCAAATTACAAAAAACTTGTCTAATATCCAATGGGAACCCTCAGAACATAAGGACAATACTTACCATTACTATGCATATACTTTCTATTCTATTTCATGTGCTGACCCACAGCTCACTAAATTAATTTTGTGACTCAATATTAAGTCCAAACATTGCAGTTTGGAAATGCAATGTTCTAGCGATCTACCTGGAGCTTGCACTCTCTCCAGTTGTCAAGCACTCCTTGCTTGAATTTCTTTGGTGATGGAGAACGTAGTGTCTACCTAGGAAGCCAGTTCTATCTTTGTGAGCTTTGGCTGTTCATACATTTTTCTTATAATGATACTAACCCTGGTCTTCCACAGATAACTGACTCCTTCCAGGTAAAATCTCTTCCAGTGTTTCAAAACAGCAGTTGCCCTGCCTCTCTGTGGCATCCTTCTTCTCCTGGTGGAGGGCCCTGGGCTTGGATGATTGACTTGAGGAAGAGTAAGTATTTCTGTTCAGGCTGCCCTGAACTGGCTTGCTGGCACAGGCTGCCCAGCAGGTGGTTGGCCTATAAATCACTAGGCCTTACTCTCTCTGCATCTCAGCATCCTGTGTCAGTGATGAAGCATCTGGCCCCTCCCCTTCTCATCCCTCCCCAACTTTGAACAAGTCCTCATGGAACTCATTTAGGCCCTGATTCTTTCTTGCATATAGCAGCTGTGTTATTTGAAGAAGTCAGGAGACTCTCCTGCCTCAAAACAGCTCATCTGGGGACTATATTTTACCATTAGGGATTTAGTCTTTTGGGGGTAAACAGTGCTGTCTCCATGACATCCTAGTTTAAAATGGTGGCACCTGGGGAGAGTGGTGTACTATGAATATGAAGCCTCTAAAATCTTAGTGTGAATGGACTTGTCAGGTGCGTTGCTCCCTACTCTACTGCCATGCTTCTCACAGTGTGCATCAACTCCAAAGAAACACCAGAGGCAGCCCTGTGTTGTGTCGAGTTCTCAAACCTGCCTGCACTTTTGGAATTGCCACGGGAGGACTTCACTTAATTAGAAAAATGTTAATTTGGTAACTATTGACCCCCACCTTCTATTCAAGGTAAATGTCACTCATACAATCTCATATTTAAAAGCATACAAATCTGATATTTAAAAATGTTTATATATATTAAGAAGAACAAAAGGAAATTCCCCCTTGGCCTATTTGCTTCCATCTTGAGAAATCTTTAAAAAGTAGGGATTTCTTGGGTCTCTTCCTAAACCTACAGAAATAGAATCTTCCGAATGCAGACCAAAAATCCTTTAAAAAATCCTCTCCAGGTGATTCTACCTGTGCAGAGAGGCGTGGACACTAATGGAGTCATGGACTGATGTTTCTCAGTGATTTGGTTCATTTCTATACTCCCACAGCTCTCTGCCCAGGGCTTGGTGCATAGCAGGCATATAGTAGGTGCTTAGTAAGCAATGTTTATTTAAACTAAACTGGAAGAGGTTGGGAGCTGGGCAGACCTGGATTCGAGTCTAAGCCTCTGCCACTTACTGTGTACATCAGGCAGGTGACTTCCTCCTTATCTGGGAAATGGAGATGAGAATGTCCACAATAATGGGGTTAAAAGCCAGTAGGAACTTCCTACCCACTTCCAGGCCTCCCCTTCTTTGGGCTTTCAGGGGAGGGAAAGGCAATCAATTCCAGGACAGTAAGTCCCAGGGAGCTCTGTATCAATCACACAGAAGGCAGCTTTAAGCCTCTTTCGAGCACTGTCCTCGCCCTGCTTGCCATGGGTCTGTATCTTGGGACACTACCTTCGGGTTGTGCAGATGAAAAGCTGGCGACATTGGTAGGGCTGGAATCGATCCCTTCTGTGCCTGCTTGTGGCTAGATCGGTCAGATTTCTTGATAGCTGCAGTAGGGGACCAACTGAAGCTAATTTCCAGCTGGACCTGCCCTAGCTCCTGAGGACTATGAGGGAGGTAGCATTGGAAAAAGCGGAGTGACCAGCAGGGAGCTTGCAGAGGAAAAAAGGAGGGTCTTGGGTGGAGGTGGCAGTAGCAGCACAGGGGTGTTATTTCGGGGTAAGGTTGCAAAGGGGTGTGGCCTGCCATTTTGATCTGTAGAGGAGGGAGCTATGACCTTTCCAACAGTCTTACTGTGCTTTGCTGATACTTGCTTCCTCCAATCCTTTTTAACCCTCATTTTAAGAGTCATCAGGTGAGTGTATTTTCATAAACATTTTATTATTAAACAGTGGAACTTCGGAGTGCTTAGGGGGAGGCGCTGCTCAGCATAAGTTCCCACAGGCCCAGCAGGCGTTCGCACTCTGTGGCCTCCTGTTGGAGGAAGGGATTGGGCTTTTCCACTCCTCCTGGGCTAGTCTCACTTCAGGGAACTGGCTTCTGGCTGAGGTCTCTGGTGGGACCCTGGTGCTCCATTCTTGGAATGGTAAGATACAAAAACTCTTGGAGCTCTGCTGCTCTGAATTTGGTTACTTTGGGGCTCAACTGTCTAGATATCAAGGCTCCCTGAGTTTTAGTTTCTTTATCTGTAAAATGAGATAATAATATCTTCTTTACCCTAGCATGGGAATTCAGCAAGAAAACCCAGAGAAAGCCCATAGCATAGTCCCTGGAACATAGTAGTTGCTCAATAAATGGTAGCTATTGTTGCTGGTGGAATTTAAAATTTTTTCTCCTCTATTGTAAGATCCACCTGCTACCCCTGCCCCCCACATTTTAATATATTTGCATCTTGTTATGTCTTAAAGTCAGTATGTGCATTTTAGATGCGGTGGTTCCCTCAAGAGCTGTTATTAAACCAATGGTAACTTTTTTTTTTTTTTTTTTTCTTTTTGAGACAGAGTCGCCAGGCAGGAGTACAGTGGCGCAATCCTGACTCACTGCAACCTCCGCCTCCCGGGTTCAAGTGATTCTCCTGCCTCAGCCTCCTGAGTAGCTGGGACTACAGGTGCCGGCCACCATGCCCAGCTAATTTTTGTATTTTTAGTAGAGACAGGGTTTCACCATGTTGGCCAGGATGATCTTGATCTCTTGACCTCGTGATCCACCCACCTTGGCCTCCCAAAGTCCTGGGATTATAGGTGTAAGCCATCGCGCCTGGCCGATGGTAACTCTTATAACTAAAAGTTTCTCACGTCTGAGAAAATGTAGTATCAGAGTTCTGTTCCTGATCCTTAGCTGGGACTACAGTAATTGCCAGGCTAGCCAATAACCTGCTTTTAAAAAGGGAGATTAACAGGTGTTAAAAATGTATTAGCAACTACTTGCACAAAATTAAGACAATATTGAAGAAAAGGGGAGAGCTTGCAGAAAAGTAGCCAACCGTGCAAAGCGCTTCATAGAAAGGAAAATTATTTTGGAATTTCTTTGATTAGGTACCTCCACAGCCACGTCTCCGGTTCCATCCTGTTCTCCTGCCTGCCTCTTCTATAGGGGAGCCTCTCTCCTCCTTTGGGGTTATCTGCTCTAGGAGCTTTATTACGGTCTACAGGATGAGGATGTCTGCACATTTGTGACTTAGGGTATCTTGAATCTCCCCACACAGATCAGTCTACAAAATGCACTCAGTTAAAAAACCCAACAACCTAGGGCCTAATTTAATGATCTGAAAGACATCAGGAAATAGCAAACTGTGGTGTACTTCTGGCCCCTCTGTTCACATCCCTTCCTTTTTACTGTGTAAAGAATTTGGAGATGTCCTAAGTCTATTTGGTTTTGTGTATGTGTGCTCATGTGCGTGTGCTGTTCAATTAGGGGACCTGATCGATATTACTGAGAAAATCTTTTACTGAAATCATTCCAGAGAATTAACAGCTTGCTGTAGCCAAAGGAAGCTTCCAATGCCATCATGGTGTCTGGGTGCGAGGCTATGAGCAGAGCCCTTCTGGGGTCCTACCTTTTATTCCCATGATCTTATCAGAGTAGCAAGCGGATGGCTGCTTCCACTAGAGTAAGGCAGTGTGGGCTAAGGACAATGCTTTGGTGGATACTGCCACCGTGACTACTCCTCATATCTGTCGAATGCTTACTATGCGGCAGGTACAATGCTAAACATGCCACTTATGTTTCCTAATTTGATTCTCACAACATTCCTGTTAGAGAGATTCTATCATCAATACCATTTTGCAAATAACAAAAGATAATTAGAGACTTGCTTTATAATTCCCAAGTCTACCTGATGCCACACTCCAGAGTTCTCAGTTCTCTGCAAAGGTCACTGCCTTTTGGTGGCCCTGGGGGAGGGTGCTGAGAATAAGGACAGTTGAGCCAGGAGGATTCTCTGGGTCCTGAGCTGTGTCTGCCCATCTCAGTCCTGCTCTGTCCTGTGTAGCCCCTAACTCTAATCTCCCTTCAAAGCTGCGCACTGCACAACTTGAGGGGAACCATTCTCATCCTGGTCTGTAGCAGGAGGTGGCAAACTTGCAGAGGGGCCAGATAACATTGTTGGCTTTGTGGACCATACAGTCCCTGTCACAATGACTCACTTCTGCTGTTGTAGCATGAAAGTAGCATAGACAATTCCTAAATGAGTGGACATGGCTTTGTTCCAATAAAACTTTACTTACAAAAACAGGTGGCAAGCTGGATTTGGCCCATGGTCTGTGGATTGCTGGCCTCTGGTCTGTGTCACTCGAAGGGATGACATTCACAGAGACAACCACTTGGAGGAGTGCAACATGAGCCGCCTGCTTTGTGGTGGCTGAGGAGTATCTCCAAGAGACATAGTGATTAGCTGAGGTGAATGACGCTCCTGTGTGTGTGTGCCCATATGAATGAATCATGCTTTTTATTAAAATTCTCTTAGTTTAATAATCCTTACAACAGAAGCAAACCTTTCAGCATTCGCAGGACAGCTTTGCATGCAGGGAAGGATGATACGACTCAAGGGCTCTTTCCTCCCTGAGTTTCAGTGGCCTTTGGGGGAGGGACCCTCACACATTATGTCCGTGGTCACTGAAATAGTCATTCATGGGAGGTGCTATTTCCCACTTTAAAGATCAGGCCCCAGTGCAGGTAAAGCTCTTTTTCCTTAATCTATTTTGGTGTAGCCAAAAGATGTAGAAATTCAACATATATCAGAGCATTTAGGGGAAACCGAAGAGAAAAATGCATACAGTATAAGACATAAACACATCCAGTTTACCACACGTGGGTTTCTGACCCTACCTCAGCCAGCTTGTCTCCACTGGTCTGAGTCTCTCTTACTCCCAATGCTCTTCTAGTACCTTCTGATGAAGTCCTGCTTCAGGCCCAAGGGTGTTCCCTGTTCCTAGGTAATCAGTGGCACAGGGAGCTTGTCATTGTGAATGACCTACACGGAGGATCTCATTCTCAACATAAAAAGGGAGCCCAGGGCCGTGACATGCGGATTAGCTTTAAATAAATAAGAAAGCATACAAGCAGCACAAGGAAAATAAATTACAGAGAGAAAGGAAAAAGTGAAAGTCGGGTGTCGTCCTCACATCCAGGAACAATCACTGTGCATTCTGACACATCTTTCCCCATGCCTTTTCTGTACCAGGCTCGGGGCTTTTTTGGACAATAATTATAAATCCATACAACAGTAATGACAGTGCAGCAACAGAAGGATCATTTTGACACAGCAGAATAAGCACTGGAAGGTGTTGGTGAGGGGACAGGGAGGGGAGAGAAACTCCAGGGGTGTGCAAGGTTCAGGGCTAGTGGCTGTGGCTTCCGTGGCTTTCTGGTGCCCTGGTCTGGGTGCTCATCCCAGCAGCAATGGTGGGGAGGGTGGTCATGTTCAGCTGTCTCAGGTGTTCTTGCTCTCCCTGGCCTCAGAAGGTGGGTGGCCACTATCCTGCAGATGGAGATGGGGTGGGGGTGGGAGCTGGTGTCTCCTCCTCATTCTCTGCAGCTGCCCATCCACCCTGGTCAATGATGCTTGTCCATCCCCACTGAGATCCAAGTCCAGCCATGTGCAAGGGGAACATCTGCTCCCACAGCTGCAGGGCCCTGCAGTCCTGGAACCAGAGTGACTTCAGAAGCCAAATGCGGGGCCCTTGGTTATGTGTGTGTGTTGGTTAGGGTAGGCGATGCGTTGCAGTGTGGTGCAGAGTGGAAAGCAGGGGTCTGGTGTCATTGGGAGCATTGCTTTTTAACCTTCTGGGCACAGCTGACCCATTGGACATGCGGGCTACTGAGTCTCAGGGCAGGGTCTAAGCAGTGGGAGGTTGGCAGTGACTCCTTAAGCTCAGCAGGCTGTGGGTAGAGAATGGGGCATAGAATGCGCTTATCTCCTGGTTTCCTCACCACTGGGCATCGGCAATGTGAGAGTGGATTTCTCCTGCTACCCTATTATGGAGGGCTTTCTGGACACGGTTCTTCAGAGCCTCAGAGCCCAGATCTTCAGAGCTGACCCTCCTTCCATCCCTTTTATTAGTTCTGCCTCTAGAGCCGCACGGATAGCACACGGGTTGGGAACCTGCTCTCTGGTGTCAGACAGAAGTGGGCTCAAATACAAGCTCCTTTGTGTACTGGCTGTGTGACCTTGAGCAAGAGATGAATCTCTCTGCCCTTGTTTGCTTGCCTGAGAATGGGGATAACAATGCCTGCCTTTGGAGGCATGGGAAGGATTCACTGAGTTAATGAACGTAAATCACCCAGCCCGGGTCTGTAGCTGTCAGCACGTAGGTTGGTTGCTTCCTTTCTCTTGGTTTTGTTCACATCTATGGACTCTGTGACTGAGCTCTTTGCGGGATCCCGAGCATCTACCATTTGGGGCAGAATCAAAGTCAGTGCCATTAAGCTCCCTCTTTGATCTGGCCATCTGGCCATCACCACTGACTGTTCACCCTGGTGACCTATTTCTCAGACCTTACCAATATGAGAGTGTGAATCAGTCACACGGACAACAGTGACCTGTTTCCCTGGCTTCGGACTTTACCTACTTACCTGGAACCTCACCCCTGCAAAGTTCTTTCATCCCTGAGCTTGCTGGAAGTGCCTGGTGGCAGGGGGTCTTGCGTGATCACATCTGAGCTGCTCAGCAGCCCATCACACTGTGTTCCCCAGAGCCTGCCGGCCCCTTCTCTCACCAAGCTTCCAGCTATTTCTTAGCAGACACCACCACCCTTCCCATCGTCTCTCACCAGGCCTGTCCATCCTGTCTCTGAAGGCTTTGTGCTACCAAGGTTACCCTCTGTGTCTGTGGTGAAGCGTGGATTGCTGGGGGTGAGGGTGAGGGCAGATAAGTCCTTTTAGTGTATTTTCATGGTCACAGTCTGCAGGGAAGTGGTGTCCTCACACAGCTCTGCATCTGCCTTGCCCGCATAGATTTTCCCTTGAGGTCTGTCTTTTCACTTTTTATGTACAGCATCCCCCTATCCTCCAGACTTCTGACCTGGTTTCCCTGAGGAGTGGCCGGGAATAGGTCTGAGAGCCTGACTAGATTCATCCCTGGGGTCTGGCCCTGGGCTTCCTCGGATTGCAAGATCCCCAGGAAGATCATCAGACTTCCCAGAGAGGTTCTGGCAGGCCTGCCCCATCGGGACCCCCTCCAAGACCACATGCCCAGGCTCAGGCAGGAAGGCCTGTTCATGCAATCATTCGCTATTGGCTTGGAGATCATCGTGGGTCATCTGGCCCCCTCTTTTCCAAATAAATAACCCTGTTTTCTCTAACCATCCACTTCCTAGCTGCTTATGTGCTTTGTAATGCTCTTCGGATCCTTTCAAATCCTGCTTGTTTTGGTGTGGGGCCAGCTGTGGCCCCAGGGTCATAGTCTGAGCAATGCCGATGGAACAGGGTTTTGCAGCATTCCCTACACACCACCGTTTTTGTATTAGGCGATCCTCAAGGGGAATGTGCCCTGCTCAGAGGGCTTCTCTGGAATCACAGGGTGTGCCTGCCGGTCAGTGGAGCTCTAGACTCCCTCCTGCTCCCAGCCCTGATGGCTCTCCATCCAGCCTGCCAGTTTGACTTCAGGCTTGCCCCAGAGATCCACCCTCATCTCTCTGAAGGCCAGTGGTCTGGGGACCACCTCACCAGGGCCACCTTGGGGGCTCTTGTTAAGACGCAAAGTCCCAAGCCCTCCCTAGGCCTACCCCCATCTTGCCCATTGAGTGTGTTAGGGGTAGTGGCTTGTGGAAGAGCTTATAAACTAGCTCTTCAGGGGCTGGAAGGAACAGTTATCCTTGAGGAAAAATAAACTACTGGCCATAGTAAACAAAAAGAAAGTTGCAAAATCAAAATTAATAAATGTTTAATTAAATGTCTAGGAAATATAACTATGTCAACTCATCAACCACAAGTCAACTCACTCTCACATAGTTACATATCATTTATATTTAATGTGGGATGCAGATGGCTTTTCATATGTTTGTTATGATGTGGGGTGGTGTTCCCCACAGCAAGAGTACTGGGGCTTCCTGAAGTCCTAAGATAGCTCTGTCCAGACCTTCCCAGCCAGGCTCTGGGGGTGAGGCTGGGAGTCTGCGTTTGTGTCAGGTTTCTGGGGTGATTGGCCATTGTCCCTGGAGTCTGGTCTTCTAAGATTCCTGAGTTTGCTGTAATGTTGATTGGGAGGCTGGTTACTGGAGGACAAGAGCTATACACTCTAGGGTACCAATTCCCAAACCTAGCTGATCACAAGAACCGCCAAGGAACTTAAACATGAAAATACAGATGCCTGGGCCCTATTCCATTACCCCAAGCCTATTAAATAATTTCATCTGGCCAGGTAAGGTGGCTCATGCCTGTAATCCCAGCACTTTGGGAGGCCGAGGCGGGCGGATCACTTGAGGTCAGGAGTTCGAGACCAGCCTGGCCAACCTGGTGAAATCCCATCTCTACTAAAAATACAAAATTTAGTTGGGCGTGGTGGTGGGCACCTGTAATCCCAGCTACTCGGGAGGCTGAGACAGGAGAATCACTTGAACCCGGTAGGCAGAGGTTGCAGTGAGCCAAGATAGTGCCATTGTACTCCAGCCTGGGTGACAAGAGTGAAACTCCATCTCAAAATAAATAAATAAATAATAAATAAAAAAAGAAAAAAAATAACAGGGCTTGGGAATCTTTATTTTAATAACAATCTCTATGGGATTCCAACAATTAGCCAGACTTGGAAACCATTGGAATTAAGGAAAGAGCAGCAGACCAGAGCATCTCAAAGTTCTGTGCCTAGAGATCACCTGGGCATCTTGTTAAACTTTGAATTTTGGCTCAGCTGGTCTGGGTGGAGCCCCAGATTCTTCATTTGTAAGAAGCTTCCGGTAATGTGGACACTCCCTGTCCACAAACCAGGCTTTGAGCCTCAAGGACCCAGATCCTGGGCTGGAATTCTGCTTTAGCTACTTACCAGATAGGCAGGCTCCGGAAATTTTAATAATAGCTGAAGGCCTTGGAAAAGAGATACTAATCAGTTTTCCCTGAAGGGTCTGGATTTATAATACAGGGCCAAGGGGCAGGTGAGGTTTGGTTGGCTCTATTCCCTGTACTTGGCTCAATAACAGAGTGGTCTGTGGATTCAACAGAGATGGAAAGGCTCAGTTTTCACGAGAGAAAAGACCTTGGGGGTAGAAAACATTTCACTCTGCTACTAGGATCTGGAAACCCCAGAATTGGCATATCATATTAAATAATTTTGTTCAGAGAGACCTCCCCAAGGCCAAAGCTGCTTTATGTATTTCTTGAATTTCCCAGATTACAGCCAGGGACTAGTTTATTCACCCAGAAGAATCTGATTTGTGGCTAATTTTTTCCCTTGGCTTTGTATTTCCCAGAGATACCCTTATGAAGTGATTAGATATTGTTCTTCTGAGACTGACTTTCTTGGAAATTCTTTAAGGTCCCTAGTATCCTTTTTTTTTTTTTTTTTTTCCCCCTGTAGACAGAGTCTTGTTCTGTCACCCAGGCAGGAGTGCAGTGATGTGATCATGGCTCCTCACTACAGCCTTGAACTCCTGGGCTCAAGTGATCCTCCCATCCCAGCCTTCAGAGTAGCCAGGGCCACAGGCATGTGCCACCAGGCCTAGCTAATTTTTGTATTTTTTGTAGAGATGGGGGTCTCACTATGTTGTCCAGGCTGGTCTTGAACTCCTTGCCTCAAACTATCTTCCCACCTTGGCTTCCCAAAGTGCTGAGATTATAGGTGTGAGCCACCACTTACCACTTTAATACATTTCTTTACTTCTTAAATCAGAGTGGGATTGTGTTGTTTGTGGTTAAAAACCGTAACTGATACGTGGGTGGAGAGAAGCAGGGATAGAAACCACTGAAAATTTTAGAAATTGCTGTTCCGCCTTACCCTGTATGCTGAGCCAGGTAGCTAGGAATTTCAAATACCCCTATAATTTATTCTTTAAATTGTGTTTGTTAGCAATTTGACTGAAAGCTTCTTGAAGGTGGGATTGGTTCATCATTCATATCTTCATTCATTTATTCAGCCAGCCAATAAATATTTATCAAATGTCAACTATATGCCAGGTAAAAACTATTTTAACCTGGTGTTCTGTCTGGAAGAACCTGTGAATGGAGTTGCCACAAAAGTAGTATTCCTGCAAGGGGCTGCCCCAAAGTGTCCTGAGATGGGGCTGGTTGGGAGTTCAAAAACAGAAGCACTAAACACTGGGGTGATCAGTCCAAAGCATTTGTTAGAGGAACTTAGTGCTTCTAAGTTAGCGCTTGCAGTAGTCCTCACAACAGGCATCAAGAGAAAGGGATGGTCTACCTAGGTATGTCTGTAGCCAGGGGGTTAGGCATGGTGTTTATCTGTGGGTTTCAGGATTTTGGCCCAGGGCCAGGGCTAGTTTATTCAGTGTTTTGGGCAGCAACCTAAACAGCTCTCTCAGTGTCTGGGAATATTAAAGGTCCTGGCTGGGCTTGAAGCCTGCATGGGGAAACATGCAGCTGACCAGCTAACACAGAGGTCATGGCAGTCTGTATTAGAGAAAAACATGGGGAAACTGGAGGACCCTATACCTGAGTTTCCCAAAAAGCAGAACCTGAGACAAATGACTTATTGGGGAGTGATCCCACGGGGCAGGGATGAGGGGCAAGAAGAACAAATCAAGGGGGAAGGGGGAACTAAAACAAAGATGAACTATTGTGTTGGCCACAGCTGTGGGTGACTGGGTGATGGATCCCTAGGGAGATCTGAGGCACCATATGAAACATGTTCCTGGACCACCTGTCCCGGGTGGGTGAGGAAGAAGAATCCATCTACTCACTTCTATCCATCATCTGTATTAGCTTCCTAAGGCTGCCATAACAAATTACTGTAAACTGGGTGACTTAAAACAACAGACATTTATTCTCTCATAGTTCTGAAGGCCAGAAGTCTGAGACTGAGCTGTCGGTAGGGCCATGTCCCCTCTGCAGGCTCTAGGGGAGGATCCTTTCTTGTCTCTTCCTAGCTCCTATTGGCTGCTTGCAACCCTCGGCATTTATTGGCTCATAGTTGCATTACTGTAATTTCTGCCTCTGTCTTCACTTGGCCATCTTTCCTTTGTGTCTGTGTGTCTGTAAATCCCTCTCCTAAAAGGACAGTAGTCATTGGACTTAAGAATTATCCTAATCAAGTATAGCCTTATCCTAACTTGACTACATATGTAAAGATCTTGTTTCCAAGTAAGGTCACATTCACAAACACAGGGGTTAGCATGTCAGCATATCTTTTTGAGGGATGCAGTTCAACCACAACACAGTTATTAAAGGTTTTCCCTACCATGCTAACTCCACCATAGTTTCAGGTTGCAGAGAGACACTGTATTAGTTCATTTTTACACTGCTGATAAAGACATACCTGAGACTGGGTAATTTTTAAAGAAAAGAAGTTTAGTGGACTCACGGTTCCATGTGGCTGGGAAGGCCTCGTAATCATGGCAGAAGGCGAAAGTCACATCTTACATGGTGGCAAACAAAAAAGAATGAGACCCAGATGAAAGGGGAAACTGCTTATCAAACCTTCAGACCTCATGAGACTTATTCACTACCACGAGAACAGTATGGGGGAAACTGCCCCCCATGGTTCAATTAACTCCTACTGGGTCCCTCCCACAACACATGGGAATTATGGGAGCTACAATTCAAGATGAGATTTGGGTAGGGACGAACCCAAA